>NC_000010.11:19858484-20010000 GCF_000001405.40 Homo sapiens
TAGGCATTCATTGAATTAGCTAATATTACTTTGTAAAAATATAAGTACCTTCAGTAGAGTCAGAAACTCTCAGGTTAATAGAAATGAATTAGTTTAGATTTCTGTCTTCTTAACATCTAAATGAAATTAGCTGCATTGAAGAAACATAAGTTTAATTGAGGGTGCAAGGTGCAGGGGAGAGTCTGGGAGAAGAAAGTAAGCAGTGTTGGGGATAGTGAGTATTTGCATTGTAGAGTGGTCCAGTGGGCAGGAAGACGGGAGGTAAAAGGTTTCATAATGGCACTAGAAGTCATTAGGAAGGTAAGAGAGACTGGTAAAGAGAAGGCTGAAAATGCTGTCTTAGTCCATTTCTGTTGCTATAAAGAAATACTTAAGGCTGGGTAATTTATACAGAAAAGAGGCTTATTTGGTTCATGATTCTGCAGGCTATCAAAAAAGCATGGCGCCAACATCTACATCTGATGAAGGCTTCAGGAAGCTTCCACTCATGGTGGAAGGTGAAGGGAAGCAGGGAACCCATGATGAGAAAAGCAGCGAGAGAGAGAGAGAGAGAGAGAGAGAGAGCGAGGGAGAGAGGAGGAGGTGCCAGGCTTTCTTCAACAAAAAGTTCTCAGGGAACAAGAGTGATAATTCACTTACTCCCATGAGAATGGCACTAAGGCATCCATGAGGGATCTGACCTCAGGATCCAAACACCTCCCACCAGGCCCCACCTCCAACATTGGGGACCAGATTTCACCATGAGATTCCACAGGGCAAAAAACAAACAAACAAACAGACAAAAATAACAAAAAACAAAAAACAAACCATATTCACACAATAGCAGATGCCAAAGCAACGCTGTAAAACCACAAACTCTCTAATGCCCCAGAGACGGCATTAAATGCTTTACATCCTTTCCTTGCTACAATTTTTCTTGTTTCCAACACTCTTTTTTCAGACTGTACCTTTTGGTGCTACATATTATTTTCATATTACATATTGAAATTGCATATTGATATGTAATATGCAATTAATATGTAATATGCAAATAATATGTAATTGAAATTACATATTAATTTCAGACATATTATAGGTCAAGTAAGCTGTAGTGTGTTGACCTGGGGACCTATCCCCATTTGTTAAAGCCTTTCCATGTGGAAAATGCACAGTATAGCATTTTAGAATTTTAAGGAATCTTAGAAATCATCCAACTCAATGGATTTTTAACTTTTTAAGATTCAGAGTCCTACTTTTATTTTTACTTATTATATTTTATTTTATTTGAGATGGAGTCTCTCTGCATCGCCCAAGCTAGAGTGCAGTGGTGCGATCTCAGCTTACTGCAAACTTCCTCTCCTGGGTTCAAGCGATTCTCGTGCCTCAGTCTCCCAAGTAGCTGGGATTACAGGTGCGCTCCACCGTGCCCAGCTAATTTTTGTATTTTTAGTGGAAACGAGGTTTCACCATGTTGTGCAGGCTGCTCAAACTCCTGATCTCAAGTGATCCACCCACCTCAGCTTCCCAAAGTGCTGGGATTACAGACGTGAGCCACTGTGCCCTGCCAGAAACCTATTTGTATTCAAAGAAAATCCTACTTTAGGTGAAATGTGTCATACAGATAAAAGCAAAGCTTATCTGAGGGTGAGTATAATCACACTACTAACAGGACCCTCTTTCCCTCTTCTCTCTTTTTTCCCCAAGGGGGTCTGGCCTCTAATTAGACCTTGGCTTTGTCATGCAGGGTGCAGTTTGCAATCATTGATCTGAACAATTATGTTTGTTCACTGGTAAAGTAAATCCAGTGACTTTTGCAAGCTTGGCAGAATGAGTTAAGAGCAAACAAAGTCTGCTCCCCAGTCCAGTGTGCTTGCCATGGTACTAAGATTTTCCAGCAGCAAGAATGCCTGGCATAGGGTCCAATATTGTGCCTAGTGCACTTCATAAATACCTGTTGATGAATGAGCGAAAGAAATCAATGAAAGAACACTGAACTAGACATCACAAGAGTATCTAAGTGTGCAATGTTCTGGCTGTTTTGGAAAATAGTTTTGGGGGAAATGAACCAATGGAGAATGAATTCATTCTCTGAAGGCACCCTTTTCTCTACTCGAGATCTGCCTTTGCACTGTGAGAAATCTAAACTTCCATGAGAATAGAAGACATGTCTGTTTTGTTCATCATCAATAAATATCTACTATACCCAGGGCCCAGCACCACCTGAACAGACCAGATCCTCACTAAATATGTGTTGAATGTACTGTTTATGGATCTTTCCATCTGTACAACTCTCAACTCAGCAGGTGGAACTAAGCTCATTCTCTTTTGCGTTGCAAGCATTTGGTTAAAGGTATGTACATAGTCTTCAGTACCAGAGAAAATCTGGGAGCCAGGTTTATCTAATCTTCTTTACTCCTACTCTGTGCAACTAAAGGCTTGTCAAGGTCTGGTAATTTTACTTTCTCAACATCTCTTAAATTTGTCCCATCTTCCTAGCCCCAAGACACTTAATTACTGCAGGACTCTTGTATTGCTTTGCTGGGTGATTTTTTTTTTTTTTCTTTTTACTTTCTGTCTTTTCTTTTTTTTGAGGTGGAGTCTTGCTCTGTCTCTCAGGCTGGAGTACAGTGGCATGATCTCGGCTCACTGCAACCTCTGCCTCCCGGGTTCAAGTGATTCTCCTGCCTCAGCCTCCCAAGTAGCTGAGGTTATGGACACCCACCACCACGCCTGGCTAATTTTTGTATTTTTTGTAGAGATGGGGTTTCACCATGTTGGCCAGGCTGGTCTAGGACTCCTGACCTCAGGTGACCCGCCCACCTCTGCCTCCCAAAGTGCTGGGATTACGGGCATGAGCCACCGAGCCCAGCGTGCTGGATACTTTTCTTTTGCAGTAACCTCTTGGCCAGACACTTCCAGTCAGTGTCTCCTTCCTTCCTCTTCTTGCCTGATTGGTCTTTCCAAAAATAAAACCTCACTTTGCCACCCTCCTTGCTTAAAAGTTTAATGTCTCCCTAGCCACCATGAGATTGTCTGAACCCTTTAATTAGCACAACATTCCAGTAACCTTTTCAGCCTCAATTTATGCCTCTCCATTCTCAGCTTCCCCTAAATGAGTTGAGTTCACCTAAGGTACTATCCTCTCTCATATATATTCCTATTCTTTTCATTCATGGTTCCCTTCTGACCCTGATTCTTTGCCTTGCAATTTCTTTCTCATCTTTCAAACCTCAATTCAAATGTCCAGTCTTTTTGACCTTTTCTGCAGCTCCTCTGACCTCTAGCTCCACCTCAGCTAGAGTTGGAGCACATCTTTTATAACCCTCTGAATGCTAAGATAATTGGCTTCATGCTAATATCTCCATTGGACTCTGAAGTTGATGGCTGGAACTCTTCCTTAGTAACCTGCAGCTACATCAAGATCCTGGTCTTTCACTCGGAGAAGGTGTTATTTGTGGGCTACTCACATTGATTAACAAGTAGGATTGATTTCAACCACCTAGGGAAAAGCCAGCTCATTTTCCTAAACTCTAAATATAGGAGATATGTTGAATGGTGATATTTAAAGATAAACAATTCTTCACATAGGAGATAAGGAAAGATGTTCTTAACATCTACTTTTTTGGTAGAACTTATAGTGGCAAGTTATATATCAAAAGAATATAATAATTAAAAATTATGAATTATATGTATAGCCGTAATTGATGCATAACCCGCCAAAATTATTTAAACTAAAGTGTTGCAATCCAACTAGCATCTTGAATCAGTTACATTCTCTAAAAAGCTTATGGTTCTTGTGACTAGGTTTATATCAATCACTTATGTGCCCAGTTCCTCAGATACGGTGTTTTTATGTAAAATGTGATGGAATTAGTCCCATTGAACCAAGGAGTAACAATTTTATGTAGCCAATACTTGTTTATTCATTAAAAAATTTATTAAGTGCTCACTATTTTCAAGGCACTCTTTCAGGCAGTGGAATTTCAGTAGTTATCTAAAGATTTGCAGTAAAGATAGCGAAGCGTTACAATAAGATAACAGAATTGTGGAAAGGAAGAACAAAGAGGGTGAAGGTTCTCTTCTCTTAATTTGTGTTTTCTTCAAGTTTAAGAATTTGAATCAGCTCATGAATCATAAATGAGAAAGTTTACTGGGTTTATGTATAGCTAGTAAAGACATTTATATTACCTACACTACACAACAAGTATGCAACAGCTACTCATTTTTCTTTTCTTTTCAACATGAAACTTCCCAATCACGGAAAAATGGAAGTAAATGGTGTAGGATCTATTTACACCCTGCCAACAGATACCCAGCCTTCTTAAACTTATTGTAGTTTTGCATATGTTTCTTTTCATTGCCGTGAGTCCCCAGAGCCCTGATCTCTTATTCTTTCAGAATATAGAAGTGTGGAGGTGAGTTCTGTGGGGCTGCAACTCTATGTAAATCTGCTCTGAGGAATAGCAGAAGCAGGTTGTGAAGAGCTTCGTATAATACATGGAAGTAGCGTGTGTCTGTCTTTTATCAACCCTGTTCTGGTTTTCTTTTTAAATGACAAGAACATATGGGGACCTTCCTTTTGTGCTATTATTTTTAGAGGGTAAGAGGAGGTGATTTTAATCTTTACCATGTAAAATGAACCACCTCACTCATCGTTGAATCTTCATGTCATATTTCAATTTTTAATGGCATCGGAGAAACTAAGGATGTGAATATTGTGCTATTATGTTTTGGGGCCCTTTTCCCTCCGGGTTTTGTTTAGATGAATCTTGGATCTTGGGTAGATGTTTGTGCAAAAGTTGTATTGACAAAGACATCTGTGCAGATCCCAGTTCAAAACAATATTTAGTTCTGGGAATTGTTCAGAAACAGCTGCCGGCTGACATTATGTTCTAGAAGTGCTTGCAGGGCTGGTACGTTGCACAGAGCATTTTGCATTTGACTCTTATAAACTGATAGCTGGGCTGCAAAGAAATTATATTTGATGTTGTGAGATATTGTATATTAGACAGAACATCCTAGAATACAGGGAGCATCACTGCCCACTTCAAACAGCCCTGCAGAAAGGCAAGTGTGACACGCAGCACTTCCTCATGTGTAAGCTTTGTTGTACACATAACTCCAAGGATGGAATTTTTGCTTGAATAAGTTAATGACTTAGTACCCGAAAGAAACATGACATGCATGCCGTGGCTTAATTTCATATCATTTTAATATATTTTGTAGCTTGTTTATTAAAAATTAACAAGCATTTTTTTATGTCAGTTCAAAGTAATAAATAAGCTGTATGTTGGATGAGAGAGAGTAAAAACCGTTTTCTTTTTTTCTTGGAAGTTGTAGTCCAAAGATACTATTCAAAAATTTTTTAATATCAGAGGGAAAGAGTATTAGACTTGATAAGTGTGTGATTTAGATACAATAATTAATGAAATATATGTTGGTCTCTAATTAAAGCTAATTATCTATGTATAATACAACATACTGTTTTCTTAGGTGAGGGAGCAAAATGCATAAATTGAAGCAAAACGCTATTTTTATTAAACCTGGGAAGATTAAAAAAAGTTTTTTTGAGACAGGGTCTCACTCTGTTGCTCAGGCTGGAGTGCAGTGATGTGATCATGGCTTGCTGTAACCTCAAATGTTTCTCCCACCTCTGCCTCCTGAGTAGCTGGCACTACAGGCAGGTGCACCACATGTAGTTAATTAACTTTTTAATTTTTTTGTAGAGATAGGGTTCTCACTATGTCATCCAGGCTGATCTGGAACTCTTGGCCTCCAGCAATCCTCCAGCCTTGGCCTCCCAAAGAGCTGGGATTATGAATGAATCACCTTGCCCTGCCAAGATTTTGAAATTTGAATATAAGAAAGAATGATTTCAGCTGATTAATCATATTTATGTTAGGCTAAAATAGGCATCTATCTGGCACACTTCTTAGATGAATTCTGAAACTATCACTTGGAAAGCCTATTTTGTCTCCTGATTTTGATTTTCGTCTCAAATTCTTTGTGAAAATATATAAAGTCTAAACAATTTGAAAATCAAAAATGGAACAATTTAAATTTTTTTTATCAAAAATATTATCTTTCTGCTAATACTAAAGCTTCAGGGGAAGTGCTGATGAGATGCTGATATTTGGCAAAATGGGAGAAGATGGACCCTAGATGAGAATTTGCTAATTCATTTTATTATATGTGCTACTGTTATTCATGAAGCAGCTATGATAAGCGTTGTGCTAGGCAATGAAGATGCAATGATGAATAAGAGGCAGATCCTTCAAAGAGAGCACAGGTAAGTGGACTGGGCAAACAAGTAAAGAGACTTTCTCAGGGGAGTAGGAAAACAACTCAGGAAGGAATTCACGTCGGGCTGTAGTTGGAATTGAGAGACACCTACTGTAAGTTTAAAGGGTGAGTCAAACGGGGCTTCCTCCCCTGAGTTTGGGAGGGTAAGTGAGAGTTGGAAAAGCCAGAGAAAGCCAGGAAGAGAGGCATTCTTGCCTTTAAGGGTGAACTTCATCAGTGTTCACAGAAGACAGAGAGGATGATGTCTTAGGAAAAGGACCACAGTTCAATGTGGCTGGAGGAGGTTACAGGAGAGAGAAAAGACAAGTGGACATTGTTCTTCTTTAGTTGTTTTAACAGCAAAGTTGTAGTTGTTAGGTTGTCTCTGCATAGACCCAGTGATGAAGGCAGTGGAGGAGGAAAGTAGATTTGTGTAAGACCACGGATTTTCTGAAAGCTGGGACATCTCAGTGACTCTTCACCTGTAGCCAAAGTTAAACCTGCACAAGTGGCTTCTCTCCTGGGTGATCTGCTGTTTCACTTTGGGTTAAAATCTTTTGCTTTCATATTGAGCTTAAGAGTTCAGAACACTGATGGAAAAAACTTGGCTCTTTGTTATTTTTCAGAAATGTATTTTTCTACATGACAATGGTAGAGTTGGGCTGTGCTTCATTTTGCAAACAGTGAAAAAGCTTTACTGTACTCGAGGTTCTGCCCTCTCATTACTGGTATGAATGGATGCAAAGATAGCCTCTTTGGTTTTGTGTTTTTATGTCTTTCCTACGTCATTATCATCTACTTTGCTACTTCTCTGCCATTTAGCCTCTCAGGGTATAATGGGTAGTAAAAAAACGTCGAAAGTACCTCCAAGCATCTGAATATTCCTGTGAAAGTTCTAATTGAAGGTTGTTACTTTCTGTTTCAGCCCTTGATCATCTTTGGAAGCTTCATAAAGAACTGAGACCTTAAAAATGGAAAATTTAGAAAGAACAAACCATTAATGTAGTAGTAAGCATAAAGTTGGTTTTCACAGTTGTGTAACAGATTTCTGTAAGCTCTCTTTCTGGAAATACACAGTCTTAACTTCCAGCTGCCTGACACATGATGAACACCTACAATATGATGCCCTTAAATCCTCCCTCAATTTCCTAACAAGCACATGGCTACCATTGCCACATTCCTGATTATTATTTCAGCCATCTCAAAGATTCTTATATGCTTCTGCTGGCTTCACAAATTCACACTTTCCCCCCTCATTTATACTTCATTGCCAATGAAAAAAATAAATTACTGGAATGGATACATTGCAAAAAAATTATCTTGTAGGTAATTTGTAGTTTTCTTGGCTCTTTAGAATGATTGAAAACAAAGGAAATTAGATGTATTTTTTGGGAGGTGGAACTGAATAGCAATATAATTGATTTATGTAGTCTTAGGGTATTCTTTATTTGTTTAGTGGCTTAAACAACACAAATTTATTGTCCTGCATTTCTGGAGGTCACAAGTCCTCAAATCAAGTTGTTGAAATGCTGTATTCCTTCTGGAAGCTCTAGGAAAGAATTTGTTTCCTTCCCTTTTGCAGCTTCTAGAGCTCATCTACATCCCTTGGCCTGTGGCCCCATCTTCCTTATTCTAAGCCGGCAAAGTTGCATTTCTCTGATCTTTCTTCCGTGGGACACCGCTGGCTAAATCTCCTGTTCTGCCTCTTTCTCACACTTAAAAGGAACCTTGTGATTACACTAGGCCCACATGGATAATTGAGGATAGTCTCCCTATCTTAAAGTCAATTGATGAGTAACTTTAATTCCATCTGCAATTTCCACCTAGAATTTCCCATTCTGTTCCCAAACTGATACGGGGTTCATTCACCCAGTGCACAGAACAAGACAATACTGACACCAGGATTTGCAGCAAGAGAAAGTGAACTAATTATTGCATGGTCCCAAGCAAGGAGAATAGGCTGCTACTGCTTAAGACCTGAACTTCCAGATGGCCAAGAGGCAAAGAATTGAAAGGCAGGGGTACATTTTAGAAAAGAAGAACTTACAGGCAAAATTGTACATCAATACATGGAGGTTATACATTGGTTTGGCCCAGCAGGGTGGGATATCTTCAAGTGGGGTCTTACAGGTCATTGGTAAGTTTAGAGATTCTTTGATTTGCAATTGGTCAAGGAAGCAAGGCTTTGTCTAAAAAGTTGGGGTCAGCAGAAAAGAATATGATAGTTTGGCCTGTGGGTTTTCCTCTATCCAGGTGACCCTCAGGAAGAAATTTAGAACAAAGAAGAATGACAATTGGAATTCGGTCCTCCTTTCCCTCTTTTTTTTTTTTTTTTTTTTGACAGAGTTTCCATCTTGTTGCCCAGGCTGGAGTGCAATGTTGCGATCTTGGCTCACTGCAATATCCACCTCCTGAGTACAAGCAATTCTCCTGCCTCAGCCTCTTGAGTATCTGGGATTATAGGTATCCACCACCACGCCCAGCTAATTTTGTATTTTTGGTGGAGATGGGGTTTTACTCTGTTGGTCAGCCTGGTTTCAAACTCCTGACCTCAGGTGATCCACCAGCCTCAGCCTCCCAAAGTGCTGGGATTATAGGCATAAGCCACCACTCCTGGCCTCCGTTCCCTCTTGTCTGAGGCCTATGTGACAGGGCTCAGCATTTTCCAACTGGTGGAGATCTGTATTTCTGTAGAACGTCTCAGGGACATAGGTCAAGGGGTATGTTCAGTTTCTATAAGGAGCCAAACATCGGGTAACTTTAACTTACTTGGGGGCTATTTTTTAAGCTATTATTACCTTCTTACTTCTCAGGTTGCTCCCTGACTCCTCAAGGCTAACTAAGTACCTGCAATTTCTCTTGAAGGGACTCACAATTTTTCCTTTATTTCCATGCTTGTGGGGAGGCGTGTGGCAGGCTTCTAGAGGCCACTCACAAACTGGGGCTCATGGCCTTCTTCCATATTCAGACCAACAGCATCACATCTTCAAATTCCTCTCTCACTCACCAGTCTCGGGGTATTCTCAATGTGCGAAGAAAGATCTGGTGGAGGTAAAGTTTCATCCTTGGAAACTGCAGAAAAAAATATAGTGTGTATGTATAAATGTACCCTTGAAAAATCAGAAGGAGAGCCTCTCTGAAATTTGGTTATTTGTTGTCAACATTAATAAATACATTGTAATAAAATGTCTGTAAAATATCAGCATTAAAAATATTAGAAAGTTTCAACTAGGTTTAAACAAGTCATTTGTCAATGCCTATTTAGAAATTAAAACTGTTATCTGGGGGCTGTAGAACCCGTTTCAATGTGATACGTGGCTTTGTAATGTTTTTATTTATTTTATATTTTTTGAATTGAATTGAAAAAGCTCTTTTTTAACCTTTATTTTGGGTTTGGGGGTACATGTGGAGGTTTGTTACATAGACAGATTGTGTTTCACGGGGAATTTGTGTAGAGATTATTTTGTCACCGAGGTAATAGGCATAATACCCGATAGGTAGTTTTTTTGATCCTCTCTCTCCTCCCACCCGCCACCCTCAATAGTCTCCAGTGTCTGTCATTCCCTTCTTTGTGACCATTTCTTCTCAATATTTAGCTTAATAGGTAGTTTTATATGAGATTTGGAAGCTTAGTCTAGTCATCTTCATGTGCATTAAAATAAGGGAGTCCATGTGCCCAGGAGTTCTGCCAACGTTTAGCAAACTATTGGCACATTCTCGGAAATAGCAACCAATGTCTTGCAATGTCTGCACCTGATCAAAATGTAATGTAGTTTATTCATTTTCTGACTCTATAAAATTAGCTTGAAAAGAAAATGTTAACTCTATGCCATTGAAACAAAAAATATGACCCTTATTTTTAAATTCATATTTAGTTACATAATTACCCAGTCAGTAGGTAGAGACCACTACTAGTGTATATTCTGTTGATTTATTTTCAAAAAATTTACCCTCTGTTTAATAAAATACATTTGTTTTCCTTGAAAACTGTTTTAGTGTATTTACTCTATCAGCATATACTTTTTGACCTTGACACTTTATTCTTCTTTAAATATTATTTCAAAACATACCAAGTATATAGAAATTACCAAGATGAAGCATATTTGTGGTTAATTCAAAACTTTTAATGAGAAACTGCAAACCTTAAGTTAAAATATGTAAGATATTTTTATTTCTTGTAAGTTTTTTGTTGACATTTGATTATACCCTCGGTGATAATTTTTTTGTTAAAAATATGCTAGCACCTTCTGCCCTATCCCACAGATTATTATGGGCATATTAGAGTGACTTGTCATAGGCTTTAGAGTTAGAGAACTCAGGGTTCAAGATTTGGCTCTATACTTTTCAACCTTTAATAACTGTGAAAAGGGGCTTTGTGCGGTGGCTCATGACTGTAATCCCAGCACTTTGGGAGGCCAAGGTGGGTGGATCACTTGAGCTCAGGAGTTTGAGACCAGCTTGGGCCACATGGAGAAACCTCGTCTCACAAAAAGTATGAAAATACGCCATCTCAACAAAAAGTACAAAAATTAACCAGGTGTGGTGGCGTGCACCTGTGGTCCCAGCTACTTGGGAGGCTGAGGTGGGAGGATGGCTGGAGCCTGGGAGGCAGAGGTTGCAATGAGCTGAAATGCTGCCACTGCACTCCAGCCTGGGCAACAGAGCAAGACTCTACCAGAAAGAAAGAAAGAAAGAGAGAAAGAGAGAAAGAGAGAGAGAGAAAGGGGGGGGGGGGAGAGGGTGGGAGGGAGGGAGGGAGACCAGTACATTAAATTTCTCTAAGCCAACATTTTTTCTCATTTGTACAACATATTAATAACTATATCATAGGAATCTTGTGAGGATTAAATTAAAGAATAAGCACAATGTGGTTAGTTATTATATTACTTTTAATGTTACATTTAAACATTTAATTAATATTTAATATATTGAATAGTATTTATTTGTATTTAATTATCTGAAGTGTTTTATTTTTATCTTATTTAACGTAATAACAATGCTAGAACCATAGCTATAGCTTTGTTAGTTATTATTATCTTTTTAATTTTTTTTAACTCCCCCACCACCCACTCCCCCGCCACTGCCAGCTCGCCTTACGTTATTGGTTAGAAAACAAGTGCAAATATAATTTAGGATTCATTATGGAGGAATATGCAATAATGCAATGGTCATTAAAGCCTTTAATAAGTCATTATGAGCTTATCCTTTGATGTTGTTTTATAAAAGCACTCTATGGGGGTTTGGACATTCTCTTGAAGGAACAAGATAAAGGTAATTTCTGGTGAGACTCACATAGTCTTGGAGAGGAAAGCAGGATGATCCCTAAGAGAAAGTAAGGATTTCTTTGTAATGTTTTGCACAAATGCGACAAAGGGAACAAACTTGGGGTCTTATTCAAGTGACTATTATAAAATGATTGAAATGAAGAGATACTGCAGCGTAAAACCCAAATTAAGTAAAGATAGACAGGGAGGAGGAGAAATGCACATCAAAGGGAAAAGGTCAAATCAACTAGGGTAGTTCAGCAAAATTCAAAGTGGAAAATGTGACATCTGTTCTTCACCTCTGAATATAGTTAAAGGTGATGAATTAACTGAAATAATGTATGAAAAATGCAAATGCTTTTATCGTTTCCAGGCATTAGTAAGTACTAAATGAAGCTTAGCTATAATTACTATTACTTTTTTTTTTATTTTTTGAGACAGAGTCTTGCTCTGTTGTCCAGGTTGGAGTTCAGTGGCACAATCTCACCTCACTGCAATCTCTGCCTCCCGGGTTCAAGTGATTTTCCTGCCTCAGCCTCCCAAGTAGCTAGGATTACAGGTGCCTGCCACCACACCTGGCTAATTTTTGTATTTTTAGTAGAGATGGGGTTTCACCATGTTGGCCAGGCTGGTCTTGAACTCCTGACCTGAAGTGATCTGCCTGCCTTGGCCTCCCAAAGTGCTGGGATTACAGGTGTGAGCCAGCACACCCAGCCTACTACTACTATTTGTACTTCAACTATTACTATTATGTTACATTTGTTTCTATGTAACACCTGTTTGGTGTCAGGCTCAGATGAGGAGAGAAAATCTGTCATATGTAACTTAATTACTGCTTGCTGTGCACTGGATTCTGTGTTATGTGCTTACATGCATGATCTCATGTAATACATACAGCAAAGCAGGTTCCATCAGGTAGATTCTGCGATTATCTCCTTTATACAGATGAATAAGCTGAGATTTAGATTGAATGAATTGTCCAAGACCAGAGCTGGGATTTGACCTCTGGACAGTTTGGTTGCTAGGAGCCATTAGGAACTGATTTAATGCTTTCTCATCACAAGGGATTGTCAGGGACAGAAGGCAGGTCTAGATCCTCTTGGAAGCTGGAACATTATAGTATTTAGTGTCCCAAGAAGAGAAGAACAGCAAAGCAAGAGGTAACACCATTTTTCTTCCTAAAGAACAGCACCATTTTTTCTTCCTAAAGAATTAGGACCTCATGAAGAGAACTGTTCACATATACGGCAAAGGAATTGATGAGGACCTTGTCATTCTTTTAACCACATTGTGTTGACTTGGGGACATTCCGTCATGAACCCTTTAATAATTAGAAGATAAATAAAAGAGCTGTCAAAACATAGAAGACAGACCATAGCATCATGTTAGTGCCAAATTGTATCACAGTGAGAAATTTTATTATAAGGTTTCCTTTTTTAAATTCTTTGAGCTAAAAGTCCTTTCCAAATATAATCTTATCAGTGAGGACCATCCTGATATTTCCCATTTAATTGTGCAGATTGATCATCCAATATCCGTTTCTTGTCTATTTGGCTCCCATGAGTCTTTTCCTCTAGTGTATCATAGAAATGACTTATATTGGGCCAGATGCATAATCCCAGCACTTTGGGAGGCTGAGGCAAGTGGATCACGTGAGGTCAGGAGTACGAGACTAGCCTGGCCAGTCTCTACTGGTGAAACCCTGTCTCTACTAAAAATACAAAAAATCCGCCTGGTGTGGTGGTGGGTGCCTGTAATCCCAGCTACTCTGAAGGCTGAGGCAGGAGAATCACTTGAACCCGGGAGGCGGAGGTTGCAGTGAGCCAAGATCACGCCACCGCACTCCAGCCTGGGCAACAAGAGTGAAACTGTCAAAAAAAAAAAAAAAAACACAAAAAACTTACATTGTTTACCATATGCCCATTTCCTTAAGTGTAACCCTATAAAGGCAAGCATTTCTGTCTTTTTTATTTACTTTTATCTTTCCAGAACCTGGATGGGTACCTGGCATGTTAGGCACTTAATAAGTCATTATTGAATGAATGAAAGGCACCTTTTCAGGGTGAGTAGGCTGCAATGCTGGTTTGGAGCAATGGGTGAGTTACTTTTCTTCAGAAAATCCAACAGGTTAAAGAAGAAATTTCAGGGACCATTAGCCATGAAATAGTCCAGGACATGAACGAAGACATCTGCAAAGGCAACGCAGGTCAAGTAGGAGAGAAATTGTAGAAGACAGCCCAGGCCATTTCATCCCTGAGGTGACGTTCAGCCCCATAATGGCGAGCACCTCAAAGCAGGATTGAAAAGTCAAGGAAATCTCACTCACCTTGACAGTGGTGACAGCTCTATTAGAAGCCATGATAGGTCAAAATTGGCAAATGTAGCAAGAATGAAAATCGGGACTGGAAGTCAGTGGCCTCATAAGGAGAATCAGCCCAGCAGAGCTGGTGTCAGTCATTAATTATTTTGTCCTAAGGTCACTATGTACTTGAAATGTTTCTGTAGTTTTACCCTTAAGTGCTTAGTAAAGTTCCCTGAATAATTTTGACTTTGGCTTAGCTTAACTAAGGGTAAAAGCATTTCAGCCACACCTAGACAAATGTGGTTCGGAGTTTGGGATGTTCCAGAGGGAGAGGGGTGTTAGCTGTGGAGTTAAGAAACCGGGTGGGGCTCAGGGGAACTGGGCAGAGTTAGAGACAGGGTGGGGGTGATTGGGCTTGGGTCGGCATCCATGAGTTCCCTCCAGGCTGTTCTCTGGCAAAGAGGGCTATGATCATGGGACATACTTGTTCCCTGGGACAAGTCAACCCAAATGTAAAAAAAACACACCATTTGTTGCACCCTGGGACACGCTTTTAAATTTTCTCTGGGTCTCCTTGAAGGTCACCAGTGTGCGGGAAAGAGTCTGGACTGTTTGGTTCACTCCCGTTTTCCACATATCTAATCTTTATGCTGATTCAAATGATTACAAAACTCCTAACAGAACAGTTTGACTATTGGCACCAAAGAATTGTTTTGACAGGAAATCTCCTAATACAGCAAAACGGTCGGTACAGGTTCAAAACAAGGGTGTTCATGCTGTGTTTTTATCATGTGCTCCAAAGTGCACTGAAGTTCACGACCGATGTTTGTCCATGGAGTTCCCAGAGTGCTTTGTGGCAGAGATTTCGGGTGGAGGGAGCCTAGAGATGCCTTAGAAATGATAAAGAAACAAAACAAAACAAAACTCTTCTATGGGATGCTGGCTGATTCCATGCTTATTGGATGGCACACTCAACAGAGTAGTTTGTGGGTCTGTTTGTTTTGTTTTGTGGATTATGGTTTTAGATTTAAAGGGAGTGTGTATCTAATCCAGCTTTCCACTACTGGAATGTTGGGATTAACATTCTTCTTCGTCTTTTTTTTTTTTTTTTTTTTTTGAACTGAGACCTTGCTCCCTTACCCAGGCTGTAGTGCAGTGGCACAATCATGGCTCAATGCAGCCTCAAACTCCTGGGTTCAAGCCATTCTCTCCATTCTCTCTCCTCTACCTTTGGAGTAGCTGGGACTACAGGTGTGCACCACAGTTCCCAGCTAGAGTTACCATTTCTTTAATCCAGTGTTTGTCAAAGTATGATCCTTTGCACATTGAACCAGAAGTGTAGTTTTAGCAAATCTGGACTTGACAAAAACATTTGTAAAATATCTTATAAAACGTTATATAAAGTTTACTTTTTACTAGAAAATGTACATGATAAGAAATTCCATTTCATTTATTTGGTATCACAAAGATCTATTTCCACTGCAAAGTAAGATTAGGGGTGTTTGGTGGCATGCAGTATTTGGTACTCCCTAAAATGGTCTGGCATCAAAATGAGGTTTGAGAGTAACTTCTGGGAACCAATTTTTTAGTTCTTGTGAGGACTTACCATAAATGATTTGTGAGGTTTTTTTCTTTATGTTGAGGCCAGATTTCCATACTCTTAAAACTTCAGGTGTGGATCTGGGTGGCCAAAGAAGGCAGAGAAGGACAGAGCCAGTTCAGCAAGGTTGTCAATAGATGTATGAAACTCTTCTCACTAAATTAGGCTTAACCCAATACACAGTTTTCTAGCAAAGTTCAGCAACACTTACGATCACAGTGGATTGTCTCTGTTACTCCTGCCAATGAAATCAGCAGCAAGTGTAGGACTATTAATGAGCTTGTATTTATGATTTAATTTAGAGTGCAGGTCTAACTTCAGGAAAACGACATGCAGTAGACCTGCAGAGCATTTGAGATAAAGCCTTTTTTCTGTTTGGAAACAATTTCTATTAGGCAGACATGGAACAATTTTCTTTTAAACCATGGATCTCCTCTTACTGGTTAGTACTGAGGGGAGCAACTCACTTTCTAGAAATAGAGTCTTCCTAAGTTCCATAGGGCACATCAGCTGCTCTTTCCTACTTTGCTCAACCTCGGCTGGTCATTGACTCTCAATCTTGTTCGTTGTAAAAGACATTGTAATGTGTAGGAATTGCAAAAGTAGGATCCCTGCCCTCAGTGGACTGTAGGTCTAAGAGAAGAATAAGTAAAACACAAAAGCACTTAGAATATAAGGTGTCATATGCTTGAGAACAGGATCATATTGCTAAAGGACTGAATGCGTTGGATGCAGACAAGCGAATTTTCTTTCTAGGAGCTGGGGTATTATTAGACAAGGCTTCTTGAAAGAAATAACATTTGAATTGAACTTTAAAGAGTATATGTGATGTTAGTAGGTACAGTTAGAGGCAGAAAGCATTTCAGTTAAAGGGATCAGAAGGCCGGAAAAGCTGAGTGCTTGTCTAGGGGACCCGGGGGATATCTGGCCCGACTGTCAGGGAAGTTGGGGGATTTTTCAGAGACGAGGATGGGAAGGTTCATTGGCACCTGTTCTTCGAGGTTCTTGTGCAAGGCTAAGGAATGTAACCTACTTATGACCTGGGAGAAGCAACTGTCAGAATTGTTGTAGAGGAAACCTCGTCATGGGGCAGATGATTCATCGAAATGACTTCTCTGGCACCCTCTAACAGCATCACTCCTTAAGCCAATCATATTTTTCTCAGAATGAAGGTGCAAAAATTAAATCATGCATGCAAAGCAGTTCGTAGGTGCTCCATAGTATGTGGTTAGCCTTATAATGCTTACTTAGGATCCGATGTAGGAAGTGGTGCAGAAGGCAGAATTGTATGCCATTTAGTTTTTCGGTTAATGTTCAATAATATGGCAGCAGTAGAAAATAAACAGGAAAGAAATGCTGGATGGAGTTAGCGGCTCTTTCTCAGTTTTACTCATTGACTGTGTCACAAAAAGTAGGTAACTGAAGGTTGTAATGAGCATCATGGATGTAATAGAATGCTATGGTTTTTATTCAAGAATAACAATCCAAGAGGTTAAAAAGATAAAATGGAATAAAGTTCATTTTTAGAAATATTTTTAAGTAGAATTTTTGAATAACCTAGTTAGGATTATGCCAGCTAACGACCTTGATAATTAACAGTCATAGAGGTAGTAAAAGGTCCAAAACTTAGCTAGAAAATAAAAGATAAGTAAGATGGAAATAAAGGTGCTGTATGGTGTGTGTGTGCACACGTGTGCACTAGTCAATGTTCAATCTCTTCCCAGAATGCTCAGCTGAACATAAATAGGATTTAGAGTTCTTATTGTGAATTTCTGTTTTATAGCAGAAATGGAAATCCAAAATGTGATTAATTCAAATTTTCTAAGACATCAACAGCAAAATTTGTTTCCTTCAACTGTCTATTTTCCTTTCAAAATAAAATAAAATACGAGCATTTGAGAATCAGAGAGATGAGAGATTTTTGTCCTCTCTCTCTAGTTCAATGTCATGTAAAATATGGGACATTTTGATTAAGAGAGAATAGCTTGACATGTTGATTTTTTTGATGTGTGCAAAAGCAGTCTATGCAAATTTATTTCTGAAATTTTTGTAACATTTTTCTTGAAAAAAAATAACCTTAGCAGCATTTTTCTGGAGCATTTTCTTCAGACGGACTCCACAAAATTTGAGGACAATCAGTGGTGGGGATTATGAGTTCAAACACTGGTTCCTAGTTTATCCTTCCCCATTTCTTATTTTCAAGTCCTGTTTACACTATGGGTCTGGGAGAGTAATAAAGGAACCAGAAGGAAAAAAAATAGGTCAGGAGGAAGGATTTGGGATTGCAGAGTAAGAGATCGTTTCTATTGTGGTAAAATGAGTTTTGCTATCTTTGAAATTGATTTGAAACCAGTAAGAGAAAATTATGCTTCAACATTTCAAAACCTTTGCAGAAACTGGATCTTTTTCTCAGCTTGATTGTGGTGAAATGTATACAAAGATGTGATTTTGGTTTCTCAACCCACATTATGCTGCATGTATATCTTCCTCTAAGAAAGGAAAAGATTTTAAAAGCCAATTTTTAGAGAGGAAACAAAGCAATTAGCCGGGCGTGGTGGTGCATGCCTGTAGTCCCAGCTACTCAGGAGGCTGAGGCAGGAGAATCACTTGAACCCTGGAGGCAGAGGTTACAGTGAGCTGAGATTGTGCCACTGCATTCCAGCCTGGACAACAGAGTGAGATTCCATCTCAAAAAAAAAAAAAAAAAAAAAAAAGAGAGAGAGAGAGAGAGAGAAACAAAGTATCACTACATCTGAGTAGTTATGACAGAATCACTCCTGTATGTGTCTAGTGATAGGAACTCTGTATATCAGTGTTTTTCAATTTAATTTCACAGTGTTTCATAGATTTTTGAGTTATGACAATGTTGCATAGCAGATAAAAGCATTTCTGTTTCTAACAACTGTAACTGTTGTCAGGTTAAATATTATCTTTTGGCTAGCTTAAAGTTGTTAAACTCAGATGTTTCATAGGTGTTATTACAAATTACATTGCAGGTACTTAAAAAAACTCGTACAAAAACGTATCTGATCTTCTGGTAATTAATATTAGCCATAGATTGCCCACATTGAAAGAAGGTTAGAAAATATGTGATTCTATCTAAAATGAAAATTCAATTAAAGATTTGAAGATGACCTCAATAAGTTGTTTGCATTTCACCGAATATAAATTGATCACTGAATTCTGTGGTGGTAAAATAACACTAGTGATATTCTGATAAAAGCTATTTATTTTTTAGATCAGTAAAATAAGGGAGGGAAAGTGAAGTGAGATAGAATGAGGAGAGAGAGGGAGGGGAGTTGAAGGGAGATAGAATGAGAAAGAGAGAGAGGGAGGGGAGAGAGGGAGAGAGAGAATTAGATGATATAACTGTAGCAAACTGGGACTTGACAAAGTTTTTCTAGGTCAACATTATTTCTATTAGTTTGTATTCAAATCCAACTCCATAGATTGTTCTTCGCCCCCATAACTCAGTCTCCCTTTCTTCCAGGGTAATACAATTCTTAGTTGGGCACATGGCTTATTAGCTTATGAAGTATTTTCTCATACACCCATGCATCTAGATATGACTATGTGACTAAGTTTTTGCCCATTATGAGTAGAAATGATGTGTGCAAAATCTCTCTTACTTTTACTTTAAAAAGTAAAAGATTGCTTCCTTTCCGTGTGGGCTGGAATGTGGACCTGATAACCCAGCCTCAAGTATGTATCCAAGGGCCATGCCCTAGTGGATCGATGAAGTAGATGGCACCGGCGTTCCCGAATGACCTAATGGAGCAAAACTACTCTCTCGGCCTGGCCGCCTGCCTGCCTCTGGAGAGAAAAATAAACTTGTAACTTCATTGAGCCACTATTCGGGGCCTTTTTATAATAGCTTAGTCTGTCCCTTAATTATTTCAGTGCTTGAAGTATATTCTTTAAAGCTTTAATGAGTTTTCCTTCCCTCTTATTTGGTCCTCAACATGGGTTTTGCATCAATGGAGTAGCATGTCCTACTTAACAAAATGCCAGAAAGTAAGTGCCTTGGTGAGGCTTTAAGCAGCTTCCAGCAGCATTGCCACAATATGTCCCATAATGATCAACCCTGATGAATTTTGAGAATATGCATAGTAAAGACATTTAGACTGGGCTTGAGCAAGAAAGAATTTGTCAAGTCATTGAAAATAAGTAAGAATGACTGTTCTATAAGCTATAAATGTACTTTTTACAAATTATTGGCTATAACATATGTGGAATATAAATATTTGGAAAATATCATATGGGCATCACATATTTTTTTTTATCAGACTCTTGATTTTTTTTTTTAAAGAGATAGAGTCTCACTCTGTCACCCAGGCTGGCATGAGATTATGCCATTGTAGCTCATTGCAGCCTCAAACTCCTGGGCCCAAGTGATCCTCCTGTCTCAGCCTCCTAAGTATCTGAACTACAACCATGTACCAGTATACAAAAATAAAATAAAATAAAAGCTTATTGCCATCTCGTGGATTTAAAAAATGTATTTTCTTGGAAAAGAGCATAAACATTTAAAGAAACATTAAGGTTGCAAATTCCATTAGTAAATACGATCTTGAGTCTAGCTGAAGTAAAATAATTTTTTTCTGTGAATGATAGAATTCCCAAAGAAAGTCTTTGGATAACTATAGTAGTCAATTCTAGGCAAACTCCTTTAATGTATAATGTGCTCATTGGCATTTGGATTATTTAATCCATCAATAAGCTATCCTTACCCCCGACAGTTAATTGAAGCTCATATGGTTTAAGGTATTTCTGTTGTATTGGTTGCATTGCATAGTTTTCACAACTTAATTTGTTTTTATTGCCAAAATAAATCATTTTGTGTCTTTTTTCCACTAACACTTTTCAGCTTCAAATTGCCCTGTCATCTCCCACATATTAGAGAAGATATATAAAACGAACTGTGGCTTTTTCTGGGTGTCATAGTATTTTAAAATGGCTTTCGTTAGCCATTTTGATTTTCAGCAGTAAACTTGAGTCATACCATGGGGAATTAAGAAGAAGCAGAGGGTTTCTCCTCCACAAAGGTATAGAATATTTCCTTTTTAGCTTAGTCTAATCCCAAGCTTCCTTAGTTTGTATTGATGCCACTGCCTTACACAGGTTGGTCTTTAAGTAAGTGGTCTTGTCTCTGCCTGTATCATTAGCCAGTGAATCATTGCAGAATCTAGGGATTAAAATTTCTTAAGCATGCATTTAGAGGAAAAATAACATCCCTTCATTTAGGGGACTAAAGCAATGATAGGATAGGTAATTAAGACCCTGAAAACGACAACTTCCAAAATACCCTAAAGAAGAAAATGTGAAGTGTAAGCCTGATTACATTAGAAATATTTAGGCTCTGGTTAGATTTGATGATTTATAAAATACTATGAGAGTATCAGAGTGCTGGGCACATAGAATGTACTCAGCCAAGGTTTGCTGATTTCTTGGTAAATATTATTCATCTAGAATGATGTGGATGCTGTTTTATTTAAATTCTGGCAGTCAGTGAGCTTTATATCTCTATGTGTGACGGTGCAAATCAAATTGTGCCATTATTTATTCAATTTTAAACGCTCATTGTGTACTAGACACTTTGCCAAGTGCTTGTATTTCGACAAATACCCTTGTTTAGTGATTTATATATTAGACATAGGTACATAAAAGAAGGCCTTGCATTGCAGACTGAGACGGTTGTATTGACTTGGCAGGTAGTGGGAATTCATTGCACACACATGAACAAGAAAATGCAGTAAAAGTATGTTTTAGAAGGATTAATTTAGGTGTGTCCTATAGGACAAATGAAACTGTGAAGGAAGTAAAGATGGGACCCCAGTTTGGAACTCAGTGGGTAATTCAGGAGGCAAGTAGGTAGTGTAAGATTGTGGCTGGTCAATCTGATTTTTGTGGTCAGTGAGTTGATTGGGTTCTCTTGGCCATTCTGAATGTTTGGAAACCCCTAATCTAGGGACTTTTCTTTCCTTCTGTTATGTTATTGGAGGAGAAAAAATATTATGGTGAGTTTTGAAACAGACTTTTAGTTGTTTTGACTCATGTGGATTGACGTTATTTTGAAGTAGCAAAACCATTCCATGTAAGAAACTGCAACATGAGACAACATTTTAGACCATGACTTGAGGATTTCAAAACATTGAAAACACAATGTATGATAATCAGTCCTTTAATGCTTGGGTGACTACTCTTTGACGTGTATTTACTAATAATTTTTTTGGTATATGATGGTATCTGTTACATGGCAGAGTTGAATAGTGATACTTAAAAATCATTTTCTATTTAGAATCAGTGAGACAAAAACCCTATTATACTTTTCTTAAAAAACATACTTGCAGTAGTCCTCCCTAATCCATGGGGCATATGTACCAAGACTCCCAGGGGATCCCTGAAAGCTCAGATAGAACCAAATCCTATATGCACTATAATTTTTCTGTACATACATGCCTATGATGAAGTTTAAATAAATTATGCACTGTAAGAGATTAACAACAATAACTAATAATAAAATAGAGCAATTGTAACAGGACAGTGTAGTAAAAGTTATATAAATGTGCAATCTCTCTCTTTCTCTCTCTCTCAAGATATTTTATTGTACTGACCTCATCTATTTTCAGACAGGAGTTTGAATGTGGGTAACTGAGACTTTGGAAAGCAAAACTCGAGATAAAAGGGATTACTGTATTAAAGTTAGAAATGTTGCTGAAGTGATATTTTGGAATTTTCTATGAAATAAAGTATTCAGTACTTTCCATGAGTTACCTATATTCTCCCAACATCATCTGTCTTCACTTTCATTATTCTTTTTCCATTTTCTTATTCTTTTAGGGCCTCTACCTTACATCATGCTGTTATTACCCCCAGAATGTTTAATTTCAATTTCTGCATCTTCAAGAACCATTTAACATACTATAGGAATCAGCAAAGATGATTCATAAAAATAACTTTGCATGTTTTTAATTCTTAGGAGTTTGCAAAACCTTTCTTATCAATTATCTCATTTTAATTTTCTTAACAATCTTTTGAGATCCAGAATGTTATTTTCCAATTATTACACAAGAGTAATTTAAAATTAGGTTGTGCTCAAATGAGCTCTGAGCCTGCCTACATCTTTGAACGAGTTGAGGGTTTTTTCCAATATCCCAGTTACCTCCCATTTCTCCAGTTTCTGAAATTTATGTGTAAGATGCGATTTTTTTTTCTTTTTTTTGAGACGGAATCTTGCTCTGTCACCCAGGCTGGTGTGCAGTGGCATGATCCCAACCTACTGCAACCTCTGCCTCCCAGGTTCAATAGATTCCCCTGCCTCAGCCTCCTGAGTAGCTGGGATTACAGACATGTGCCACCATGCCTGGCTAATCTGTGTATTTTTGGTAGACACAGGGTTTCACCATGTTGGTCTGGCTGGTCTTGAACTCCTGACCTCAAGTGATCCACCTGCCTTGGCTTCCCAAAGTGCTGAGATTACAGGCATGAGCCACTGCGCCTGGCCGCCAATTTCTTTTAAGAATGGAGCCTTTCACTTTCCCCCATTGACTCCTTTACACCGAGACTCTTTCAATGCTTAACGCAAGACTAGTTACAAAGACTTAATTAGTAACTGTGAGCACTTTCTAATTCAATGGAATATCTACTAGATTTACTGATGGACATCATATATATGATGCCAGATAACAGAATTTTTAACGGAAAGTTCCTACTTTTGGACAAGATGTGACAATAAAAATGTTAAAGATTTGTTACATTATTGAGAAAATGAAAAGGGTCAAAGAATTTCAATAATGACAGTACTAAATAAAATTTGCTTATGTATTTCCTAATTATTGAAACTGCCAAAAAGTTCTGATAACTTCTCCAGTTTCCTGTTGTAGAAGGCATGGTAATTTATTAGCAATTTTAAATGATTGGGTCATGACAGTTCATATATTTTATACATCTTGTTACTATGCAAAGCCCATATTGACAGTGTACTAATTCTCAGTGTCCTTCTCAACTAACTGAAAGAATGCCTAGCTTATCTTAATTTCTAGTTACTTCTTCATGCAGTCATCTTACGTTGTTAGATATTTTGGAAAGGTTTTGACTGCTGGTTCCAGCTCAAGTTCATGTGTTAATACTTGACATGTTTCTGGTAATGTTGACATTGAGTGCTTACTAAGTGCCTAGTTAAGTGACTAGTAGATGTTTCTCATGATGGATTCCTAAATGATGGAACTCCAGCTGATACTGAAATAATTTGACTGTTTAAAATAAGATTCAGGTTCATGCAAAGTTAAAGCTGCTTGTTTTTCCTCCTAAGATCTTAAACATTTCACTTATGTTTATTTCTGCCACTACTCCACACAATAAACATCAATGCATTATTATCCATTATTCTAGAGCAGCAACGTTAACCTGAGTATGCCAATAAAGACAAAGGGGTCAGGGAATTTCCATTCTCTAATTAAGGAAAACAAGAAGCCCAGAAGAGGGTCAACATCATCAGGAAGCCGAGGAAATGTTTAGGTTAATAATGGAAAAGCAAAGGAAGAGGTTAGTGAAGTTTGAAAAAAATCGGGCCAACAACTGGTAGACCCAGGACTTAAATCCAGTTCTGTCTAAGTCCAAAGTCAGGTACTTCTTTTTCAGCCTTGCTGCCCTGCTTCCATAAATGGATGTCACGAAGCTATGTGGTAGAGCTAAATCGATGAATCAAATATAATAGTATGAAAGGTTTCGAGGGACAAATGTTAAGTTCTGAACTTGGATTCAAAGAAACAACTCTGAACGAATAGATGAGATGTAGATAAACAGTAGCATATGTCAGAAAGATTTGTTAAATGTAAGTTCAATATTGCCCAACATTCTGACAAGGCCAGCGAAGATTATGCCTTGAACAATGTTAAAAGCAGAACAGTATCAAGAACAAATAAAATGAAACCACCATTATATAGTGGTTGCTTGTGCTTGAGTCTTGGTTTTGTTTTTGCTTTTGTTTTTCCTACACTACCAAGGAAAATTTGGCAATTAAAATTTTTTTTTTTTTTTTCCTTTCTTTCTTTTTTTTTTTTTGAGACAGAGTCTCACTTTGTCGCCCAGGCTGGAGTGCAGTGGCTCGATCTCGGCTCACTACAAGCTCCGCCTCCCGGGTTCACGCCGTTCTCCTGCCTCAGCCTCCCGAGTAGCTGGGACTACAGGCGCCCGCCACCACGCCCGGCTAATTTTTTGTTTTTGTATTTTTAGTAGAGATGGGGTTTCACTGTGTTAGCCAGGATGGTCTCGATCTCCTGACCTCATGATCCGCCCGCCTTGGCCTCCCAAAGTGCTGGGATTACAGGCGTGAGCCACCCCGCCTGGCCACTAAAATTTCTTAAGAAACAAAATTGCAAGTTAAAAGTGCGTATTTTATATGGAATAGTGAAAAGCATGAGAGGTGTTTAGTTAGCTATAAGGTAGCCTTGGTGGCCATGATAGTTGCCATCAAAACTCCACCCTCTTCTTTTCACTATGCAGATTATTTTGTCCAGATTTAATATTCATAGCATGAAATTCAAAACTGAAAATCATCATTCTCTCTCTATTTTATGTCTGTATAGGTTGCTCTACTTCCTACATGAGTTTATAATGGTTGACCTCAAATGAGTGGTTGGTCACAAGGAACACACACAAAAAAATCCTGAGAACTTACGTCCCCTTTTCTTTTCTAGAATGTTGAAATAGTTTGAATAGTGTCTCCTAGGATCAATCTTTTGGCTGCTCTTTTCATGCTGTTTCTTTCTGCTTTCTTCAGACTTGAAAAAAAAATTCAGAGAGAAGAATGGGTAATAAAAAGAAAAATTCAGTTTAAGCATTTTGTATTAAATTCTATGTGCCTTTCAGTCGTCCAGTGTTCCCCCACCTCCGTACTTGTTAGTGCTACGGAAGGGCATCTCTGTTTAGATCAGTGATGTGCAAATATTACTGTCTCCAGATCCCTTTAAACTTTTTTTTTTTTTTTTTTTTTTTTTTTAGCAGACAGGATCTGACTCCTGCCCTGGCTGGAGTGTGGTGGCGTGATTGATCTCGGCTCACTGCAGCCTCAACTTCCTGGGCTCAGGTGATCCTCTCAGCCTCCATGTAGCCAGGGCTACAGGTGTGCACCACCACACCTGGCTAATTTTTGTATTTTTTTTTTTGTAGAGATGGGGTTTTGCCATGTTGGCCAGGCTGGTTTCAAACTCCTGAGCTCAAGTGATCCACCCAACTCAGCCTCCCAAAGTGCTGGAATTACAGGTGTGAACCACTGTGCCCGGCCTAAACTTTTCAAAAGTATTGAGGACTTATTAATAATAATTTGTTTATTGTGAGTTATATCTCTTGATATTTGCTATGTCAGAAATTAAAGATGAGAGTTTAAAAAATTGCCCAAGAACTTCTTTAAAAATATAAACCTCTACATCTTTACATAAATGAGATTTTTTTTTATAATACTTTGAGTTTTAGGGTGCATGTGCACAATGTGCAGGTTAGTTACATATGTATACATGTGACATGCTGGTGCGCTGCACCCACTAACTCGTCACCTAGCATTAGGTATATCTCCCAATGCTATCCCTCCCCCCTCCCCCTACCCCACAACATTCCCCAGAGTGTGATGTTCCCCTTCCTGTGTCCATGTGTTCTCATTGTTCAATTCCCACCTATGAGTGAGAATATACAGTGTTTGGTTTTTTGTTCTTGCGATAGTTTACTGAGAATGATGATTTCCAATTTCATCCATGTCCCTACGAAGGACATGAACTCATCATTTTTATGGCTGCATAGTATTCCATGGTGTATATGTGCCACATTTTCTTAATCAAGTCTATCGTTGTTGGACATTTGGGTTGGTTCCAAGTCTTTGCTATTGTGAATAGTGCCGCAGTAAATATATGTGTGCATGTGTCTTTATAGCAGCATGATTTATAGTCCTTTGGGTATATACCCAGTAATGGGATGGCTGGGTCAAATGGTATTTCTAGTTCTAGATCCCTGAGGAGTCGCCACACTGACTTCCACAAGGGTTGAACTAGTTGACAGTCCCACCAACAGTGTAGAAGTGTTCCTATTTCTCCACATCCTCTCCAGCACCTGTTGTTTCCTGACTTTTTAATGATTGCCATTGTAACTGGTGTGAGATGATATCTCATTGTGGTTTTGATTTGCATTTCTCTGATGGCCAGTGATGATGAGCATTTTTTCATGTGTTTTTTGGCTGCATAAATGTCTTCTTTTGAGAAGTGCCTGTTCATGTCCTTTGCCCACTTTTTGATGGGGTTGTTTGTTTTTTTCTTGTAAATTTGTTGGAGTTCATTGTAGATTCTGGATATTAGCCCTTTGTCAGATGAGTAGGTTGCGAAAATTTTCTCCCATTTTGTAGGTTGCCTGTTCACTCTGATGGTAGTTTCTTTTGCTGTGCAGAAGCTCTTTAGTTTAATTAGATCCCATTTGTCAATTTTGGCTTTTGTTGCCATTGCTTTTGGTGTTTTAGACATGAAGTCCTTGCCCGTGCCTATGTCCTGAATGATAATGCCTAAGTTTTCTTCTAGGGTTTTTATGGTTTTAGGTCTAACGTTTAAGTCTTTAATCCATCTTGAATTGATTTTTGTGTAAGGTGTAAGGAAGGGATCCAGTTTCAGCTTTCTACATATGGCTAGCCAGTTTTCCCAGCACCGTTTATTAAATAGGGAATCCTTTCCCCATTTCTTGTTTTTCTCAGGTTTGTCAAAGATCAGATAGTTGTAGATATGCGGCGTTATTTCTGAGGGCTCTGTTCTGTTCCATTGATCTATATCTCTGTTTTGGTACCAGTACCATGCTGTTTTGGTTACTGTAGCCTTGTAGTACAGTTTGAAGTCAGGTAGCATGATGCCTCCAGCTTTGTTCTTTTGGCTTAGGATTGACTTGGCGATGCAGGCTCTTTTTTGGTTCCATATGAACTTTAAAGTAGTTTTTTCCAATTCTGTGAAGAAAGTCATTGGTAGCTTGATGGGGATGGCATTGAATCTATAAATTACCTTGGGCAGTATGGCCATTTTCATGATATTGATTCTTCCTACCCATGAGCATGGAATGTTCTTCCATTTGTTTGTATCCTGTTTTATTTCATTGAGGATTGGTTTGTAGCTCTCCTTGAAGAGGTCCTTCACATCCCTTGTAAGGTGGATTCCTAGGTATTTTATTCTCTTTGAAGCAATTGTGAATGGGATTTCACTCATGATTTGGCTCTCTGTGTGTCTGTTATTGGTGTATAGGAATGCTTGTGATTTTTGTACATTGATTTTGTATCCTGAGACTTCGCTGAAGTTGCTTATCAGCTTAAGGAGATTTTGGGCTGAGACAATGGGGTTTTCTAGATATACAATCATGTCGTCTGCAAACAGGGACAATTTGACTTCCTCTTTTCCTGATTGAATACCCTTTATCCTTCATGAACATTGATGCAAAAATCCTCAATAAAATACTGGCAAACCAAATCCAGCAGCACATCAAAAAGCTTATCCACCATGATCAAGTGGGCTTCATCCCTGGGATGCAAAGCTGATTCAATATACACAAGTCAATAAATGTAATCCAGCATATAAACAGAACCAAAGACAAAAACCACATGATTTTTTCAATAGATGCAGAAAAGGCCTTTGACAAAATTCAACAACCTTCATGCTAAAAACTCTCAATAAATTAGGAATTGATGGGACATATCTCAAAATAATAGGAGCTATCTATGACAAACCCACAGCCAATATCATACTGAATGGGCAAAAACTGGAAGCATTCCCTTTGAAAACTGGCACAAGACAGGGATGCCCTCTCTCACCACTCCTATTCAACATAGTGTTGGAAGTTCTGGCCAGGGCAATAAATAAGATTTTTATGAGAAAAAATTCTGTAATTCTGAAAAGAAAAAACTTAGAAGAGTCACAATATGTATTTATGTTAGCGTTCAACTCAACAGAAAATGACTAGATTTGCATATCTCCCTCTGTATTCAGTCTCTTATGCTATCCTAAGTCATATAACCTCTGGACAATTTCACTGTATACTTGTGATAGAATGAGAATGAAAAACATAGTGTCTCAGTATTATTATGAAAAGAGTTTTTGACTTCATAGCTCCCCTGAAAGGATCTCAGGGACACCTACAGGTTCCCAGAACACCCTACTTTGAAAACCACTAGTTAGGATATTGGTATGTGTTTTTAAATCTTCTAATTATGTCTTTTGTAGTTGCCAATAACATTTTCTGTACACTAGAGTATGGATCAGTTATTCATTAAAACATAATAGTAGAGAAGCTAGTGACTGAAACTTGGAAAATAGGCCAGGCACAGTGGCTCATGCCTGTAATCTCAGCACTTTGGGAGGCCGAGGCAGGTGGATCACTTGAGGTTAGGAGTTCGAGACCATCCTGGCCAATATGGCAAAACCCTGTCTCTACTAAAAATACAAAAATTAGCGAGGTGTGGTGGCAGGTGCCTGTAGTCTTCAGTTACTTGGGAAGCTGAGGCAGGAGAATCGCTTGAACCCAGGAGGCAGAGGTTGCAGTGAGCTGAGATCGCGCCACTGCTCTCCAGCCTGGGCGACAGAGTGAGACTTTATCTCAAAAACAAAAACAAAACAAACAAAAAACAAAAAAAACCCCGAAGACTTGGAAAATAATTTATATGAGTGAAATGTTGCCTCAAGAGTACCTGGGATAAATAAAAAGTGTGAGTGCATGCATGTTCACAAGTGTATGTCACACATGTAAAATCTAAATGTATTTCCTGTTGATCAACAGAGAATGAAATAATAGAAATCACTCAAAATATCGATAGTGGCATAGACAGTATTTCCTTCTGTCTTGGGTGTAAAAGTGCTAAAACTTATTCAGGTCACTTGACACATAAGTAAGAGTAAAATAGATTTTTTCTAGAAATAGTAATAGAGAGCTTTTTATAATTACATAGACAACTGTAGCAGGATGTAAGTCACTTACAAATGACATTAATGCTGAGCCAACCAAAAGAAGGAAGAAAACACAACTTTGAATTACTTCTGCACAGCCTACATTCTGTCATGTATAATTTTTTAATTGCAGTTTGCTGTGTGGTCTTGTGGAGGAACACGCCTATCACTCCACTTCTGACATGCAAGATGCTTTGGTGTTCAGCTGTGAGAAATTGTTAATGAATTTGCTATAATTAAAGCACTCCCTTTTTGAAGAGCTTTCCTTTCCTACCTTTAATTTTAAAAAACAAACTAGCAGACCGGGCTATTGCTTTGCCAAAAGAATGATAAGAAATTATTGTTTAACAAATATTTATTGAACTGGGTGGATCAAAGGTGATAGAAATTTCACTCCCTGATTCTTGGAGTGTACAGAACAACTGGGAAATGATTCAAATGTATCTAGGATTTGGCATAAATTCCAGATTTTATTTTTCAGGCCAAGTAGTTTTTCTTCTGGCTATTGATCTCCAACAGACTCTTTGGCAACCATTTCAACAGGAATGGATTACCAAGAGCGGGGTGCAGTGGCCTAGAGAGAGTTAGACCTACAATGAGATCACTTTCTAAGAGAGGTTGAGAGAGGGGTGGCCTGAGGAGTTGGGAAGAAAAGCAAGTCAGTGGACAATACTGTAACCAGAATATGGCTGTAGGGCACAGAGAAGCAGTCATTATCAGGGAAGCTCACTTGCAGGCGAGGGATACATTTTAAGTTAGGCAGATGAAACAGAGACAAGGACAACATTGGAAGAAATGGTACTTGCACAGATCTAGGTGACCAAGTGACATACATCCGAGAAGTTTGTCAAATGATGAGGTTTGAGGTGGGATTGGCCATCCCTATGAGATGTGCAGAGGGGTAGGGTGAGGCTGGTAAAATCAAGGAAAGCACGGTTACTAAAAAATGTCATTAAAAAGGGAGATGAGCTGGAAATCAGGCAAGATGTATTATCTGAGTATATAGAACAGAAATGTCACAGTTTTGACAATGCCAACCAGTATTCTTTGGTGACTACCTCCAAAGGAATTTCAACTCTTATGAACATTAATTAAATACTTTGGAGTAATTTGATAGACATTTTTTTTCAAGTTTAGCCCATGGCTTAATCTTGCAGAGGGTAGTAGAAAAAAAATACCATTATCTCTGGGAAACATTTTTTATGATAATATAATAGAGCCCAAATTTTGACCCATTGCTTTGTTGGAAAGATCATCCAGGACTAGTATTCATTTCCTCCTTGTTTATGACTTAAAGTGCTTGATCATTTTGGGACACGGTACATCCCAACATCCCATTTTATATATATATATAAAATTATTTTTCTTCAAATTCATATGACAAGCTCTGTCTCTTCTTTTCATTGCCGGTTATTTTTATTTCTCTTAATGACCATGTCACTCCTGCTATTAATCATGCTCTTGGGACCGTGAATTAACTCATTCAAGCCACTTGGGCCCCTCCAACTACACTGGAATGCAAATCATTAAATGACTCATTAATTGTTTTCAAACCACTAGGGTCTCATTTAATAACTTGCTGGAGCCATTTAATTAAATAGTGTCCTAGTGCCCTCAAAATGTATCCCTGTTTAATGACTCAGGCACTCTTAAAGAGAAAACTTATTAAGTGACCACAAGTATGCTAGGGTTATAAAATGGAGTGTTATTTTCTTATTTGCTTTCTTTTCCTTTCCCTATCTGTGGCCTTTCCAACATGTCTTACTGAGGCACCAACTACAAATATGTAAAAATAGTACAAAAACCTTGGAATATTGCAACTTTAAGAGATAGTGTGTTTCTTGGCCTTAATTTTAGACATCCACAGGCAGGAAAAACATAGATCAAGGGAGGCCTTGACATTTTGTACTCTGAGATGAACTCCAAATAGTGCCAGCAGGTAACCCATATAATTAAAATGAGGGCTAATCGTGTAGGCACTGGGTTAAGTCTTTCTCTGAATTTTCTCACTGAGTTCTCACAAAAATACTACGGGGTTGTTGGTTTATAGATTAGCCTGGATGTTACAGAGGAAGCCACTGAGGCGTAGAGTAGTGACAGGTAGAATAAGTAGCAGAACTGGGATCCTAACAGAGGCAGTCTCGCGTTTCAGGGCCCTTTCTCCTTCATTCATTTGTTCATGTATTTATTCCAGTTTCAATTATTAATGCCCGCTCTGTGACAAATTTGATAGCCTGCTGTGAGTGAAGGACAGGTAGTCTACTGTGTCAACTTTGGGGGATAGCCCTGGGCTTCCTCTAATTCCTTTAAACTCCATAGTCATGATAGAGAACTGCTTTTTTCATTTTGTTAATTAATTTTTTAAAAATTTTAATTTTGTTTTAAATTTCTATTTTAGATTCAGTGGGTATATGTGCAGGTTTGTTATGTGGATGTACTGTGTGTGATGCTGAGGTTTCGGGTATGAATCATCCCATCACCCAGGTACTGAGCATAGTACCCACTAGTTAGTTTTTCAGCCCTTGCCCCTCTTCTTCCCTCCGCTCCCTAGTGGTCCTCAGTGCCTATTGTTGCCATCTGTATTTCCATGAGTTCCTGATGTTTAGCTCCTATTTATAAGTGATAATATGCAGTATTTGGTTTTCTGAGAACTGCTTTTTTTTTTCTGAGACGGGGTTTTTTTTTTTTTGAGCAGAGACAGGGTTTCACCGCGTTAGCCAGGATGGTCTCAATCTCCTGACCTCGTGATCCACCCGCCTCAGCATCCCAAAGTGCTGGGATTACAGGCGTGAGCCACCGCGCCCGGCTGCTTTTTTTTTTTTTTTTTTTTTTTTTTTTTAAATCAAGAACGGCTAAACCCCACATTTTAAACTGAACTATGTGTACATAGAATAATTATTTAATTATTTAATACCATTTAGACTTCTTGTACTTGTGCAATATAGTTAGATGTGTATGCATCTGTATATAACTAATGTATTTCTCTCAGTGATACTGATAATTCCCAGCATATATATGCTCCCTGCTTGTAGAAGCCTAGAATACATAAAAGCCACTTGAAACTATTCAGCTCCAGGAAATTCTTGTCCCACTCCTTGCTGCTTTCCTTGAGATTCCATCATTTCTGACTTTCCCATGTAGGGTCTAACTTCTGACCTCATTTCTTTCTTGCTGATCTGCCATGCAGTCTTCTTCCTATGCAATGGCAAGACATCTGTGATTGCTTCTCTTTTATGTCTTTCTCTGTCCAGCGCTCCCACCCCTGAAAAATATAAGTACCCAGTTGAGGAGTTAGAATAAAGCAAAATATGCTGCATTGTCCTTAAAAACAACAAAAAAGTATTGGGTACTTAGTATTTCTATTCTCTGGATAGTAATACCAAAATGCAATATTATAGTGGTTTGTGTGTCACTCCATGTGGGTAAAAGCACACGATTTCTTGGCTTTCCATTTTTCTGTGTCCCAATTTAAAGTACCACACACAGCTGGTTTTTTACCTTCTTTCGCCTGCACTTTCCTTTGCCTCTTTCTATTTTCTCCCTTTTTTCTTCCACAATCTTCCGTAATTACCATTCACATCTATTAGATTGTGCTATAGAGTTTTGAATGACATTATCCCAGAGTCTAACATGGGAAATATTATTTTCTGAGCTGTGCTCCTTAACTCCTCAAGCACCTACTGCAGGCGTTGGAAAAAGAAAGCCATGGGTCTCCACCTCTGCCTCCTCCTTAAAAGCTTCCTGTGTCTTCCCTACAAAGAGATTAGGCCTAATTTTAGACCAGCTGCCCTTGGGAGGTCGGTAACCTCTGGAGCGATTATAAAGCTAGGCATGATTGAGGAAACTTCTCTTTCGCTTGTAGATTAATTTCGTTTAGCTGTTATAACTTAGTTTTTGAAGTAAAACCCAAGTCTAATAAACCAAAGAATTGGTTTCACCTTCAAATTCTCAACAAAGCCAAAGCCAAATAATATTACATGTGAAATTGCTTCTTTGATTGAAAAAATTGGATTTTTGTTTTTACAGAATAGGTTAAAGGATCCTTACTGAAACAAAGAATAGCCTAGCTTTATTCTCATATTAGATCATTCCCTCTTAATTTGCTTATTTATAGAAAAAAGAACTTATGCAAAGAGACACTACTTTTCATTAAAGTAAAACAAGGGACTTTAGAATGACAGAATATTAATATTGACAGTGTGGAGAAATAGTCAAGTTACATTAATATTTACTGTAAAAATCATATATACCTGGTACTCAGTAGCTACTTAATAAATGTTTACATATAACAATAATACTTAATAAATACTTAAATATTTCTTTGACTAAGTGCCAGCCACTGTCTAAGGGCTCTTAGTGAATTCTTACAACCACTTAAGGAGGTCTGTGCTATTATTATCTCTGTGTTAGAGGCGAATGTCTGTGGCATGGTGGACTTGAAGGACCTAATTTGTCCAAAGTCATTCAGCTAGTAAGAAGTTGACTTGGGATTCAAACCCAAGCAGCCTGGCTTCCAAGATCCGCTCTTAACCACTATGCCACACTACCCGCCCAGTGCTGATAAATAAATAACTTGCTTGTGGATCACATGCCAAAAATGCTTGTTGAAATAATTCTATGCAGGAAGACTTCAGATGTAAAGTTACGACTAGGACTCCAGCTGAAATTGCTTAATGCTATGTACATAGTCATGTCTAGGCATATTGATTGCTGTAAATTCTTAACTCAGATAGTTCCTATGAGTTCATATTTGGCTATAAAAGCCCAATCCTATAGTAGAATTGTATTTAAAGGAAAGATAGCTTTTATAAATAAAGGTAGACTTCTTATAGTTTCGGATTTCTTCTGCTTTCTCCTGCAAACCATTCCCGTATTTGATGGTCACTTTCTGCAGCAATATGTTTTGATGTTCTCTGCTGGGCCGGCACAACAATAAGTCTCAATAAGGATTTTGTTTATCTATAAATAAAACCCTTAGTATACAGTACGAGCTAAGACCCAATCAGACAGCAGGAGGAGCCTGGCTTTCTTACTGTTGGCCTAGTTGAAATGGTCTTTTTTTTTTTTTTTTTGCCACTGTTACAATTTGCCATTGTCATCACAATCAGATTCACTCAAGGCAGTTCAATTCCATAGATATTTAGAGATCTAGATTTACTTTATATTACATCCTTAGGGCGTGGCTCTGACCTTCATCAAAGAAGGGTAATAATCCTGTTTCAAGGGGGTTAGCATAGGTAATCTTATCGGCTTATGCACGCTATGGTTGGGGGACGCCTAGGTGTGGGGATTGCTTTCATTCAGATGTGGCTGTGACAAGCACACATTTAGCTAGGAGTCTAGTGTGAATAAAAACATAATGCTGAATTGTAAGCCCCACTGTATACTTACTTCCAAGGCTGAATACACATTCGAAGTGTCTAATATTCTTGATGTTTGTTGTAGGAAGCATTAAATAATATTTGGAAGAAAAAAGCACCATATCCAGTTATTTCATTGGTTGAAATAGCTGACCGCTTATAATAAAGTAGTCTGTGGACTGCTTAAATTTTGTAGTGAATTCCTGTGTGTGCATTTTTGTAATGGTCATTCTCAGTCGTAAATGTCTTTAGAAAGTCATCTAACACAAATACATTGAGAGAAGTTTTCCTAGCATAAGCCTGGTCATAAACTCCACCTGATAACTTTGGGGCTTGATTTAAATCAGGTGGAAGCTCTGTGCAAAAAGATGGATATGTGACCAATATAATAATGGCTCCTTTTGCAAGAAGCAATACTTCTGAAATTAAGGGGAATGCATTAGATGTGTATGTAATAAATAATTGAAAATAATTTTGGAGGCAGAAGTTATTGTAAGTGAAATTCTGTCATAAGTGAAACAATCCTTTACAGCCTTTTTACTTTCTCATCAGCATGTCATGTCAGAAATGACAACTCATGTCTCCTCAACTAGTTACACAGCTCTTCCCAGCACTGTTTCCTTTCTGGAAACCTCACAAGTGAACTTTGAAGAAGGAATCTGTATATTCATGAGTAGAGTTTAGTAAATGACTTCACCAGTTAGGGGGTCAACCATGCTAACAGCTCAAATCCCTTGAACCCTCTTCACTGCCCTAGAGTTGGATTTGGTGTGATTCTCTTCCCACGAATGGAGTAAATTCAGAGAAGCACCCAGAGGAGGAAGTCAATGCCCAATCTGTAGAAAGAGAAATTAGCCTGGACACAGCACCACAGGCTATAGTGCAGAACTGTGAGAAACCTTCTGAATCATCCAAGGAAAAAGAAAGGTACACCTTAATGAGAAAAGAAATTTCTGCAGTGTCCCTGAAGTCTTCAAGATCCCAGAAATCCCTTGGAAACGTAAAACAAAACAAAACAAACAAAAACAAAAACAAAAAACTGATGTTTTCCTTTTTTTTTTTTTATTAGCACAATCCTAGGAACTTAATTTGTTTCCCAAACTTTTCTATGACATACCGTAAAATTCTCCTATATGCCCTGGTGCCATGAATCAGAGATTCATTTGAATTTTAACCACTTTCAATTTCAATTGGAATTTATATATTCCTGAGGGGACAAAAGTAGGTTGGAGGACATTTATTTGGCCATATCTATTTGTAGATCCTTTTATTTGAACTACTTTTCTTTTTTACTTGAATTTTTAAATATTTATTTTGAAATTTTAAGTTATAAACAGTGGATACCCAAATATTTTCTAATTTAACTGGCATAAGTATTTTTATTTTTATCTACAATGTTACATCAGCACTATCAGGTTTTTTTATTATTATACTTAAAGTTCTGGCATACAAATGCACATTATCACTGGTAATTAGAGAAATGCAAATCGAAACCACAATGAGATCCCATCTCACGCCAGTTAGAATGGAGATCATTAAAAAGTCAGGAAACAGATGATGGAGAGGATATGGAGAAATAGGAACGCTTTTACACTGTTGGTGGGAGTGTAAATTAGTTCAACCATTGTGGAAGATAGTGTGGCGATTCTTCAAAGATCTAGAACTAGAAATACCATTTGACCCAGCCATCCCATTATTGGGTGTATACCCAAAGGATTATAAATCGTTCTACTATAAAGACACATGCACACATATGTTTATTGCGGCACTGTTCACAGTAGTAAAGTCTTGGAACCAACCCAAATGCCCATCAATGATAGACTGGATAAAGAAAATGTGGCACATATACAACATGGAATACTATGCAGCCATAAAAAAGGATGAGTTCATGTCCTTTGCAGGGACATGGATGAAACTGAACTACTTTTCTTAACAACTAGGGGAAGCCTTGAAACAGGGAAGTCATAATTGTATCTAAGAGGATGATGATGGGTCTGGAGGTGTCACAGGGGCCAGGGGACAAACCAGCCCAGCATGGTAGAGCTGGGCACCTTCAAGACAGGTAAAGAGGACAGAAGTGAACAGTATCAAAATGTTTCCACATTCTCCAGCAAAATGGTCCAATAGAAATTTGATGAAAACCGCAAAAGTGAGCTTCCTGTGCAATTCTAAATTTCCCAGTAGCCGTATATTTTTTTAAAGCCAAGCAATGGATGGATTTAATTTAAATATATTTTATTTTAATATATGGCATTATACCTATCAAAAATGTTATCATTTCCTTGGGTAACAAATATAAAAATTACTTGTGTGGTATTCATTTTCCATGATTCTTCATTTGAAATCACTGAAATCTAGTGTGTATTTTGCACTTACAGCACATCTCATTTTGGACTTGCCCCATTTTACCCACTCAGTAGTCACACGTGGCTAGTGGCCACCGCCTTAGACAGCTCAGTTCTGAAATTCCCTTTTGTCAGGCCCCTGAAGGAAGCTTTCCAGCCACCATGTGAGATCATCTTCTGCCCTTGAAAAATCATGCTAAGGGCTGGGCATGGTGGCTCGTGCCTGTAATCCCAGCACTGTAGGAGGCTGAGGCTGGTGGATTGATTGAGGCCAGGAGTTTGAGGGTGCAGTGAGCTATGATCATAACATTGCACTTCAGCCTGGGTGACAGAGCAAGACTCTGTCTCTAAAAAAATTTTAAAAAGGAAAAGTAGGTCTGAGAAGGAAGCCCACTTTGGAATCATGGTACCACTCCAGGAAGGTCCTGGAGCAGGTCAAGGTCGGGGGGCCCTAGCTGACCCTGCAGTCTTTCACTTTCCTTCACTCCAGGCTTTCAGTTCAAAAGGTATCCAACTCCTCTTCTCTTGATCTGCCATGATCTTGGCTTAGTTCTTCCACAGCCATTGAGAGCTGACTCAGCCACCAATCAGGCTGAGTCCAAGAAAGCAGCCCATGAGCTGACTGTATAACCTAAGCTTGCAAACACAGCCTTGGCTTTGTACACACAACCTTAGCTTTGCACACACATGGAAGGGAAGGCACATTCTGGCAAACCATGGTGCTCAGTCTGGCACCAGAGAGAGGCAGAGAATTGCAAGAATTGCAGTTCAGAGCTTGAATACTAACACAGAGCTAGGTTGCATTTTGGCTGGATGCTTTGCTAGCTGTATAACCTTACACCAGTTTGTTAACTAGGTTTTCTGGATACCGTGGTTATTTTTGGGATTGAATGAAGGAATGAGTATAAAGTACCAGACATAAATAAGTCCTCAATAAATGCTTGTTATTAATAAGTCCTCAATAAATGCTTGTTATTAATATCGTCATAACAAGTGACATGGAAACTCCTGTCACTCACTTTGCTAGGCAGATTTCTACCTTTGATTTTTTTATATTTGAGCTTCGTGGATGGCAGTTCTGCACAATGGTGGGCTTTTGGTAAATAACACTTATGATTGAGGAAGAGAGATAATTTTGGGCAGAAATTTACAAGTGCCATTACAGTAAAATAAAATGGCATCAGGAACACTCTTCCTTAAGGTGTCTGCATGGCTCAGACTCTCAACTTATTTGGGTCTTTGGTCAAGTCTCAATTTATCAGTGAAGTCTTTCCTGAGCATTTTGTTACATGGTAGCCTCTCTGTCTCACAAATCCCAAAATGTATCCATCTGTCTGCTTAATTTTTTGCATAGCTCTTAGTACCACCTGAGGTTCTTCATATTTACTTGATTATTGTCTTACTCCCTATTAAAACATAACTTCCCTAAAAATGGGAAATTTTACCCATTTCTTTACTGCAGTCCCCTGTCACCTAGAACAGTTTCTTGCACGTAAGTTTCTGCCCTCAGGAGTTTTACACTCTTTTCTTATCAGCAAAGCTCTTTTTGTCTGTGAGTACACGACTCATCTTGTTTAAAGAGCCTCTGTATTTCAGAATGATATGAGTCTGTTTCTTTTCTCCATGTCTCCATGTCTCTTCCATGATTCCCTTCTCTTTTTTTTTTTGTTTTTTTTTGTTTTCTTGAGACGGAGTTTTGCTCTTGTCGCCCAGGCTGGAGTGTAATGGCACGATCTCGGCTCACCGCAACCTCCGCCTCCCAGGTTCAAGCAATTCTCCTGCCTCAGCCTCCCCAGTAGCTGGGATTATAGGCATATGCCACCATGCCTGGCTAGTTTTGTATTGTTTTTTTTAGTAGAGAGGGGGTTTCTCCACGTTAGTCAGGCTGGTCTCGAACTCCCAACCTCAGGTGATCCACCTGCCTCGGCCTCCCAAAGTGCTGGGATTACAGGCATGAGCCACCACGCCGGGCCAATTCCCTTCTTTAGTCAAGAGGGAATTAGGAAAGCAGTTTAGGGAACAGAAAACATAAGTACATGCTTCTGTGTTGTGTTTAAATTTTTAAGCTTTTTTAAGACTATATATAAAATATGGTTTTTTTAAATGAACACTTACACATGTGAAATAAACACTTTTACATGTGAAAAGCTGACACCATGAGAAATTAAATGATTTGTCCAAGACCTTGGAGCCAGTTAGTTACAGGGCTAGCAATAGATGTTGCATCTCCCTAATTTGAGAATATGTGGGATTATATATGATAATTTTCAGATGTAATAACATTCATTATTAGTAATATAATTAAAAAATTTTTAAGTAGAAGGACTAGCTGCAAGATTTGTTTTTGCGAAAATGAAAGTTCTATCATGTTTATCTTCTTCTGTAATCAATGAAACTGAAAAAAATACCTGTTTCCCCTGTAACATCAAACTCATTAAGAAATTATTTTATCTTGAGTACCACATACTTGAAAGTTTATTTATTATTGATTTTTTGAAAAGAAAAATAAATAATATTATTTCCAAGTAGACAGACAATTTAAAGCTTAACCTTGAATCATTCGCTCAATAAATACAAAGAAGAGGGAAGCTAGTTTATTTTTTATTTGTATTTTTTGGTTTGTTTTGTTTCAACTTTTATTTTAGATTCAGGTGGCACATGTGCAGGCTTGTTACTAGAGTATATTGTGTGATGTTAAGGTTTAGAGTGCAAATGATCCCAGGAAAGACAGTTTAAACTTGACATCAAGGAATTTAGATATAATAATCATCAGGTTTGTTTTGGTTATATATAGGTAAATTCTCTTTCTCGCGCTGCACTTACGAATTTTACACTATATAGTGTCTGGAAACGTTAAAACAGGTCTTATTGTACACATATGTCTTGCAAGCACAACTGGTGGAAAATGAACAGTGACAACAAAAATTAACTTTACAACAACGAAAACTAATTTTCATCTAGTCTGGTGAGCCTAGCTGGTAGAAAATTAACAGCAACAGCAAACTTTAACCACAATGAAAAAACTGACATTAATTTAGAGATTAATGCCTATGGCTTATATATCTATTTGTCGGGGAAGCAGAAAATGAGGAAGTTTCTGGATCAGTGGAAGTTGAGACCTGTCCCACTGTCAAATAATTGGAATTGTCAAAATCCAGCGTACTTAGTTACTCCTTGCCCATAGACGTGTTTGACCTAGAAAAATTTCTTATACGCAACAGATATTCATGAAATATATATTAAAATAAAGCTTGAAGGGTGAATTAAATAAATATTTACTTGGAAGCTACAGTGGGTGAATTAAACAAATATTTACTTGGAAGCTACTTTATAGCCACTGGGCTGGATTTCATATACAGAGTTCTTGCCCTTGGGAGTTTTACAACTGCTTAACACTTTGTCTATGCTAGAATACAAAAAGAGAAATAGAAATGAATACATTATAAAATAAAAACAACCCAGAAACTCAAAAGATGACCCATTAACCACATGTAGAATTCACTCAGGATTTGCGAAGGGGAAGGTAACCATTTTCTTTGCCTGTCTCCTGCTCCTCCTCTTCCACCCTGGCTCATGTGGTTTTCGTTTTCATCTGAGAGAATCACCTCCAGTCCCATTGAGGCCTCTCAGACCAGTTGTTTATCTGACTTTTGCCCTTAAAGCTGCTTCTCATAATTTTGCATTACACTTATGTAAAATGTGCACACTTCATTGATATGCTATTCACTTAAGGAATAAGAATAAGTTATCATAAGGTCCGATTTCTTTCCCAACCAGGTAGTTTATGAAGATCAAACAACCTGCTTGCCCTTCTTCTGCTACTAGAGCTGGTGATGTTCTGATAATTAAACATTTTGGCATTTAAATTACCAACTGTTGCCTAATTAAGACATCATTTCTACAAAATTAATGCAGGATTTTTTGATTGCACGTATTATATGAGAATAAATACTCATGAATCTTATCACGCCTCAGAAAGGACCTTTGAAGCTTGAGTCACCACCAAGTATAAAAAGGATCAATAGTTTGCTAGTAATTGTAAATTTTAAGTATATATTTGGTCTGAAAGTATCACTAAATTCTTATGGGGAAAAAGTGAAGTTGTAAAAATCTATAAATCATTCAACTTCATATAGTAGCCAAATATGAAAAGATGATAGGATACTAAATTAGCAGTATATATTAATACAATAAATACTAGTTAAGTATTTTAGATTTCTTTAACACCTTTATGTGTTCATGATATGAAATGGGTTAATTTGAGTATTTTTTATTAATCTGGCTCACCTGTTCTAATTTTATGTTAACTTCAAATCTTGATATTTCTTGGGTCAAGAGCATCTGGTTATTTAACTTTTTGCCACATTTTCCTAGATGGTTAGAGAATTATTATGTTTAAAGTCTTCAAGATACATCACAAATGAGAAAAGATATAGACGTAAAAATAGGAAATTTATCACACTTCTTGGAATTTCAATTTGGCCACATTATTTTTCTATGTCCCACTTAAAGGAACTTTAATGATTATTTCCAAAGGCACATAGCCAGTGAGATTTCATGTGCCTACTTAATTATCTGATTATTTTCATCAATCCACAAAGGATTTTGAAAAGCACACAATAAGATTGAAGTACAAATAGATGCAATATGAGAATTAGAGAAAATATGGAGAACAGAAGATCAAGGAGGGCCTGGGAGATGAATGGTGGGAAGTGGCATTTGGAATGACAACTTATGAGCCACCTCTTTTAAACAATCAGTTAGTCAAGTTGAGATTTTGGTTCTGAACTTCTTGAAGACTAAAGCAAAAGAGAAACCAACAGTTACAGGATTCTCAATGTCCATTATGAAAATGTATGCCATTTCTTTAAAAGGAACAAAATTTTTCCTCAACTTTAGGTGAGGAAAAAAAGCAAACACTGTGCAGTATTTCTTCAGGATGAAGTGTAGTGGTCAAAGTTTTTATCAACATCCACATAGTTTTGGAAATAATGGGTGCCTTATGGTTTTCTGTGTTCAGGTTTCTTTTTTATTTATTTATTTATTATTCAATAGGTTTTGGGGGAGTAGGTGGTATTTGGTTACATGCATAAGTTCTTTAGTGGTGATTTCTGAGATTTTGGTGTACCCATCACCCAAGCAGTGTACATTGTACCCAATGTGTAGGTTTTTATCTCTCACCCCCGCCTACCCTTTGCCCAGAGCCCCCAAAGTCCGTTGTATCCTTTTTATGCGTTTGTTTCCTCATAGCTTAGCTCCCACTTATGAGTGGGAGCCTACGGTGTTTGGTTTTCCATTCCTGAGTTACTTCATTTAGAATAATAGTCTCCAATCCCATCCAGGTTGCTGCAAATGCCATTATTTCATTCCTTTTTATGGCTGAGTAGTATCCCATGGTATATATGTGTGATGTGTGTGTGTGTGTGTGTGTGTGTGTGTGTGTGTATTCATACATATATATATACACATATATATATAAAACAATTTATTTATATACTCATTAATTGATGGACATTTGGGCTGGCTCTATATTTTTGCAATTGCAAATTGTGCTGCTATAAACATGTGTGTGCCAGTATCTTTTTCATATAAAGACTTCTTTTCCTCTGGGTAGACACCTAGTAATGGGATTGCTGGATCAAATGGTAGATCTACTTTTATTTCTTCAAGGAATCTCTACACTGTTTTCCATAGTGGTTATACTAGTTTACATTCCCACCAGCAGTGTAAAAGTGTTCCCTTTTTACCACCTCCCTGCCAACATCTTTTATTTTTTGGTTTTTTGATTATGGCCATTCTTGCAGGAGTGAGGTGGTATTGCCTTGTGGTTTTGATTTGCATTTCCCTGATAATTGGTGATGTTGAGCATTTTTCCATAAGCTTGTTTGCCATTTGTATATCTTCTTTTGAGAATTGTCTATTCGTGTCCTTAGCCTACTTTTTGATGGGATCATTTGTTTTTTTCTTGCTGATTTGTTTGAGTTCTTTGTAGATTCTGGATATTAATCCTTTGTCGGATGTATAGATTGTGAAGATTTTCTCTCACTCTGTGGGTTGTCGGTTAACTCTGCTGATTATTTCTTTTGCTGTGCAGAAGCTTTTTAGTTTATTTAAGTCCCACCTATTTATTTTGTTTTTGTTGCATTTGCTTTTGAGTTCTTGGTCGTGAAGTCTTTGCCTAAGCCAATGTCTGAAGGGTTTTTCGATGTTATCATCTAGAATTTTTATAGTTTCACGTCTTAGATTTAAGTCTTTGATCCACGTTGAGTTGATTTTTGTATAAGGTGAGAGATGAGGATCCAGTTTCATTCTTCTACATGTGGCTTTCCAATTATCCCAGCACCATTTGTTGAATAGGTTGTCCTTTCCCCACTTTATGTTTTTGTTTGCTTTGTTGAAGTCAGTTGGCTATAAGTATTTGGCTTTATTTCTGAGTTCTCTATTCTGTTCCATTGGCCTATCCTATTTTTACACCAGTACCATGCTGTTTGGGAGACTATGGCCTTATATTATAGTTTGAAGTTCAGTAATGTGATGCCTCCAGATTTGTTCTTTTTGCTCAGTCTTGCTTTGGCTATGCAGTCTCTTTTCTGGTTCTATATGAATTTTAGGATTTTTTTTTCTAGTTCTGTGAAAAATCATAGCAGTATTTTGATGGGAATTGCATTAAATTTGTAGATTGCTTTTGGCAGTATGGTCATTTTCACAATATTGTTTCTAACCATCCATGAGCATGGGATGTGTTTGCATTTGTTTGTGTCATCTATGATTTCTTTCTGCAGTGTTTTGTAGTTTTCCTTGTAGAGGTCTTTGACCTCCTTGGTAAGGTACATTCCTAAGTATTTTATTTTATTTTATTTTATTGCAGCTATTGTAAAAGGGAATGAGTTCTTGATTTGATTCTCAGCTTGGTTGCTGTTGGTTTATAGCAGAGCTACTGATTTGTATACATTAATTTTGTGTCCTGAAACTTTGCTGAATTCGTTTACCAGTTCTAGGAGCTTTTTGGAAGAGCTTTTAGGGTTTTCTAGGTATACGATCATATCACCAGCAAACAGCAACAGTTTGACTTCCTCTTTACCAATTGGGATGCCCTTGATTTCTTTCTCTTGTCTGATTGTCTGGCTAGGACTTCTAGTACTGTGTTGAAAAGAAGTGGTGAAAGTTGGCATCCTTGTCTGTTCTAGTTCTCAGGGAGAATGCTTTCAACTTTTCCCTGTTCAGTACAATGTTTGCTGTGGATTTGTCATAGATATTTTTTATTCCCTTAAGGTATGTCCCTTCTATGCTGATTTTGCTGAGGGTTTTAATCATAAAAGAATGCTGGATTTTGTCAAATGCTTTTTTCTACATCTATTGAGATGATCACATCATTTTTAATTCTGTTTATGTGCTGTATCACATTTATTGACTTACATATGTTAAACCATCCCTGCATCCCTGGTAGGAAACCCACTTGATCATGTCAGATTATCTTTTTGATATGCTGTGGGATTGAGTTAGCTAATATTTTGTTGAGGATTTTTGCATCTGTGTTCATCAGGGATATTCGTCTGTAGGTTCTTTTTTTTTGTTAAGTCCTTTTCTGGTTTTGGTATTAGGGTGATACTGGCTTCATCGAATGATTTAGGGAGGATTCCCTCTTTCTTTATCCTGTGGAATAGTGTCAATAGCATTGGTACCAATTCTTCTTTGAATGTCTCATAGAATTCAGCTGTGAATCTGTGTGGTCCTGGACTTTTTTTGTTGGCTTTTTTTTTTTTAATTACCATTTCAATCTCACTTGTTACTGGTCTGTTCAGAGTTTCTACATCTTCCTGGTTTAATCTGGGAGGGTTGTATATTTCCAGGAATTTATCCATCTCCTCTAGGTTTTTCTAGTTTATGTGCGTAAAGGTGCTCACAGTACCCTTGAATAATCTTTTGTATTTCTGTGGTATCAGTTGTAATATCCCCCATTTCGTTTCTAATTGAGCTTATTTGGATTTTTTTTCTTTTGCTGGTTAATCTTGCTAATGGTCTATCAATTTTATTCATCTTTTCAATGAACCAGTTTCTTTTGTTTCATTTATCTTTTATATTTTTGTTTGTTTGTTTCACTTTCATTTAGTTCTGCTCTCATCTTCATTATTTTTTTTTTTTTTCTGGTGGGTTTAGGTTTGGATTGTTCTTGTTTCTCCAGCTCCATGAGGTTTGAGCTTAAGATTGTCTATTTGTGCTCTTTCAGACTTTTTGATGTAGGCATGAATGCTATGAACTTTCCTTTTAGCACTGCTTTTTCTGTATCTCAGAGGTTTTGATAGGATGTGTCACTATTATCGTTCAGTTCAAATATTTTTTTAATTTTTGTCTTAATTTCATTGTTGACCCAATGATCATTCAGGATCAGTTTATTTAATTTCCATCTATTTGTGTGGTTTTGAGGGTTCCTTTTGGAGATGATTTCCAATTTTATTCCACTACGATCTGGGAGAGTACCTGATATAATTTTGATTTTCTTAAATTTACTGAGGCTTGTTTTGTGTCCTATCATATGGTCTGTCTTGGAGAATGTTCCATGTGCTGATGAATCTAATGCATATTCTGCAGTTGTCGGGTAGAATGTTCTGTAAATATTTGTTAAGTCCATTTGTTGTAGTGTATAGTTTAAGTCCCTTGTTTCTTTGTTGACTTTCTGTCTTGATGACCTGTCTAGTGCAGTCAGTGGAGCATTACGTCCCCCACTATTATTGTGTTGCTGTCTATCTCATTTCTCAGGTCTAGTAGTAATTACTACTAGATTATGGTTGCCTCTGCTGAGTCATACAGGTCACCAGGGAAGTGAGGGAACCCCAGCAGTCTCAGGCCTCACCCCACTCCCACACAGCCCACAGTCCCAAAAGCTGGTCTCACTCCCACCATGCCCCAACCCCTGCCCACCCCCAGCAACAGCATTGAGTCTGTTTCCAGGCAACTGGTGACCAGGGCTGAGAACTTCCCCAGACCACAAGCCTCCCTGCTGAGAAAGCAAGCAGACTCATAGTTTTTCAGTGTCTCATGAAGGCTGTAGCAGTGATCCAGTTCCTTCAAAGGGTCTGAGGATTCTCTTGGATTTCTTGGTATGTTCCTGTGGTAGTTCTTAGAGCAAAAGTTCATGATATGAGTTTTGACATGCTGCTCTGTCTGTCCAAGCAGGAGCTGCAAGTGGTCCTGCCTTCTATCCTCCATCTTCCTGTGTTAGGGTTTCTTAGCATAAGCCAAGGATGTATGTTATTAGGAAAAAGATTTTAATAAGTAAGAATCCTAAATTTGAGATGCCATCTTTGAAAGCTATAAACTACTACTTCTTGGGAAGTGAGACCCTCTTTAATCTCCACTTCACCTAGTGTCATGTAGAATAGGAACACCCTCCCTCCACAATGTGTGCTAGCCTTTTATGTCATTGGACATCATTCCTGCAGAGTGCTCTTTGACCCACCGCATATGCACAGAAATACTCTGTGCTGCTCACCACTTTCAGGTTGATTTTAAGGTGTAGGCATAGGTAACACCCTAAATCTTAATGGGAAACAGAACCTCGTGTGCTCTGATTGGTTCACTGTAATTTTTTCCTTGTTGATAGATGAGCACAGTTTACTTTTCTCTTTGTTTATTTTAATTGGTGTATGAATGGGTTCTTGGATGATTTTGGCATAGCCATAGCCATGAATCCAAAACGATAGTCAGTGGACATAATTTAACTAGAGGCCAAAAGAAACATGGTCCAAACATCCAGCTCTCTGATGGTCTGGGTTTACTGAGATGTAAAACTTTTGGCAAAACTGATATTTTTAAGCCATTCTTTGTAAATATTATTTCTCCTAACTGGGTTTTTGATAGACTCTGGGAAATAAGCAATTAAAGGTTGTTTTGGGGTTCTCTTGTAAGAGACCCAAAGGAGGCATTCTGAGTAAGTGATCTTGGGAAGACTCACATACTTAAAAATCAATGGAGTGTGGGGAAAGGTGGCAGGACTGGTGATATTTTGCAAACATTGAGGGTCCCTATACTGAGTGCTTTTTGGATTTGCTTTTCTAATTCAACCAGTCAGCCATAGAAAATTCTCAATTGCACTCCCAATTATATTATGATTTAGAATAATTAGCTCCTTTTGAATACCCTAGAATGAATTCTTTAATTGCAAAAGGTACCCTGAAGTTACAAAATATTAGACTTTTTTCCTGGTGTCGTTGGATATAAGCCAAATTAATTTAGGGCATCTCTGCAAAATACCATGATTTTAGTTTTTGAGTAGAAGATTTTAAGACAGTCTTTCTGACAGTAGTTGGTAAGTTGGAATAACCATTTATTGAGGCTATTTCTAGTTCATTCATTTTTACAACAAAGATTTACTGTGAATCTGTTATATATCTGGGCCCTGTTCTAGTGTTGAAGAGATACAATAGTGGAAAAAAAAAAACAACTCAAATCTCTGCCTTGATGGGCCTTACATTCTAGTGATGTGAAACAGACACAAACTAAAGTGAATGATAGGGCATGTTAGACAGTAATGAGTGGTATGGAGCAAAATAAAGAAGAGAGAGGGACTAAAGTGTGAGTGCATGTGTATATGTGTTCACGTGTGTGTGTGCATGTGTATGTGCACATGCGTGTGTGTTGTAAGATGTGTGTTATTATTATTCAGGCACAGGGTGGCCAGTGGATTAGGAAACAATTGGCACTGAGTGATAGTTTGTTACTCACAGATCCCAGGAGAAGGAGACATATCATGCCACAGTACGCAGGGCCACGTGGGGAAGCACCAGGGTCAGTCAGGAGGAAGATGAGCAAAAGGAAAATGTGGACAAGAGCTTGTATTATGGTTTATGCAGAAATAAACAGGTGAGGCAGGGGAAACAGATTCTGGATTGGCTAGTGTGAATACTTTTAGTGGATTCTGTGGCATAGGGACTGTCCTTAGTTGCCTGTTACATGACTCTGGGGAGATTAGGGCAGGTGGACAGTGATTGTGTGAGAGCCCCATAGGGGAGGTGGTTAGGGGTGTGGGTCATGGATTGGTTGGTTTGCATATCACAGGTGTGCTCATAGGCCAGGGGTTTTTACTATCTCTAGGAAGGGACTAATCCAGGAAGGGGCAGTTTCTCCTGAGTCAGAAGGCCCCAGCACCAAAAATACAGATAATAAAGACATACTTAATGCTGTGTACGTGTGTGTGTTGCTGCCCTTTTAAATGAGGTGGTCAGAGAAGATTTTCACATATAAAATGACATTTGGGCATTATTGTTCCCCTAAAATCCTAAGCGTTACTCTTCTGTCTGCCTGGAGCCCGAATGTCTATGCCTCTCATTCTTCACCCTATGTTTGACAGTGAACAGACTGCACAGTCATGTGTGATAGCCTGTCTGTCACCTATTAGAGGGTTCTGATATTTTCTTTTCTATTTTTTTTCCCAAGCAAGGAAGCATGCATGCAACTGATCAATAATTAAAGTTGGTCAGCTTCAAAGAGATGGCAGTGTAACTCCTAGGAAGATTTATTGTGGCATGGTAATCATTTTTTTCCATGGAAATGTGTTCATTAAATTTCCCTTTGATTTTCAGGAAGTAGAATTTTATTTTCTTGAGCGCTAAGAGCCTGAAATTCTAGCCTTAAGATGATAGTGGTGACTCTCCATGATCATTTCCTTTAAGGATCTTGCTGTTTCTCGTTCCAATAAACACTTTTAAAAAAGCTTAAGGTTTAACCACTTGTGTCTTATTATCCAGAAGTAACATTGACTATTCTGTTGTTTGTCCCAAGATGTTTCCATCCTTGTTTATGATGTCCTCACCCTCTCCCCACCTTCACAGTATGTAGGAAAATCAACAAGTTAGCACAGGAACACAGCGAAGGATAGTGTTCTGGGATCAACATTATGAAAAGGCAAACTGAAGACAGACTCAGTCCATGATCTGCAAAACAAAGCAGAACAGCAAAATAACCACACCTAAGCAATAGCATTAAATATGATTAAGGAGGTCATGGAACATGAAAGCAATGGCAACATACCATACCTTATTATATTAGCTTTCCTAAATCTGTGGCTAAATCAGCAACATTGACATTTTTAGTAGAAAATGCTTCAACAGAAAACAGGAAATCAACTTACTCCAGTGCTCTTCAAATGCTTTTCTTGTACATCACTTAAAAGATTGTGGAAACCTGTCTATTTCCTCGGTTATTTTACAGTTGACATAAAAGGGGTATCGGACTGGCTAATAACAGACTGTTCCCTCCTTGGCTCTAACTTTATTGCCATGAACCTCACGCACACACCTCTCATCTTCAGAAAGTCTGTCGGCAAAACAGACCCAGAATCTGACCAGTTTTCAGACCCTCACTGGTACCACATGGGCACCAGCTACTGAATCTCATGCTTCAAAATCTTTCATTATAAGATTTAATCGCTGTGTTACAAAAGAGTAATTTCTGACTATAAAAGCGGGATGTCACTCTTTAAAATGAAACAATTAAAAAATAGTTTATAATTCACAACTATTTACTAAATATATATATGTAAAAAAGATCTTAAGAATTTTTAGATGGATGTTTTTATCATTAAAATTATGTTTTCATTGTTATTATACCACAAAATTTCTGTCAACATAATTTATTTTAAGTTTAAAAATCTTTCACTAATCAATTTCTTATCATTCTTTGAAATAAAACACATGTTTATAAATTGAAATAGGACATTTTAAGAAGTTTTCTATGGCGGTAATCTGCAATATTTTGATCTATTTCTCTACATTGAGTGAGTTGGGATTACAATTGTTAGAAGTACCTAATTGATCAAAATATCACAAGTATTTTCTGTTTTCTGATAAGCAGTTATTAAACATAAAAGATAATGTACTGCTGAAAGTTTATATCTAAAAGAGAGGGATGGGGGTGGAAGTTAGGGTCACTGATTAAGAACATTCTTCTAACATAGGAGTTGAATTGTCCTTTGCTTGGAGCCCAGGAGATGTTAACACTCCTAAAAAATGCACATATTAAGATTCTGACGAGTCAAAGGTATTCTCAGGGATCAGTTAGAAGACATAGTGAATGTAAGTTTAGGATCAAGATTGTGTTTGTATTTCTCAGTGGTGCTATGGCTTACCTGACAATATACCCTATGTATATTACCTCATTTATTCCACACAGCAGTTCTTGAGACTACATCACACAGCAGTTCTTGAGACTACATCAGGATACTGTCCATGGGTCTTTGTGTATTTCCAGGGAAGGGAGTTTCTAAAGAGAGGCCCCAGAAAGCTCTGTCCCTACAATGAGAAGGCGACCTTGCTTTTCTTTGCTGAGCATTGCTATATTAAGACCACCTAATTATCCTTAGTTTTGAGTTTTTGATCACCAAACAACTTTGATTATAATTTGACCACCAAAATAAAGTTCCGTCCAAGGAACTTATACACTAGCAAAGTGGTCCTTATGACTGTTTCCTATGATGTGTGTTCATGAAAATGTCAGCATTCTGGTGTGTATATCAACCTCTCATGAATTTAGATAGTGTGAGTTACTACTCAGAAACCAAGTTTCTATGGGTAAGAACTGCAGCTGTGGACTTGTAAAGAAGGTGACTAGTCTCATAAAAGCTGAGAATCCCTGAATCAAAACCTCAGGGATGTTGGTAAATATTGTGTGACAATTTTACACCACACACTCACACACAGATGAGATCGTGAAGCTAATCTCATTTCTTTGTTTAGATTCACATTTATCTAGCCCAAACTAGACTTTATTTTCATTTTGTAGAAAAACCAGAATTTATCCCGGAGACATACCACCTCAGCATTGCATTATCCAAATGCAAGTTAGCAAGAAGAAAGAGATTAATAAGGCTTTTAAAAGCCAGCATATATTTCACCAAAGTCACAAATCAAACTTGACAACAGCTTGGCAAGAGATTAAGGAAATGATCGGATGACCACAGCAGAAGAGAAAAGGACCAACCAATCTATTTGCTCTTATTTACTCTCTCAATTATTTTACTGTTCATTCTTGCATTCATTTATGTATTGAATGATTCATTTATTAGTGAATGCTTTTGAGGTTAAAGCAGTATTCAGTGTAGTAGGGATATCAAGAAGAATAAAACATGATCCCTACTTTGGAGAAGCTTGTTGTCTAATGCCTATACAGAATAGACACAGGTACATAGGTCATTACACAAATGATGATGATGATCATGACAACAGCAACAGATGCTTTCGTAACACTTACTATAAGCCAGGCACTGTTCTAAGAGCCCCTAGATGTCAAATGCTGTAGGTACTATAAAATGAGTGTATGTTCAATGTATTTCTAGAGAACTCATTAGGATGTCATCTTTAGTGCTGTTCATACTTGGGACCCCAAAATTCTACTTGCACGTATTTTGGGAAATATTTAGTTCAGAACATAAAATCAAAAATCCGTGTTTTGCCTGTGTTAATCTTTCACATACATTTTACAAAGCCTGAGTGGTCCAGGGTGATGTTATAATTTTTGAAGTCACCATTGTGTAACAGCAATATCATTGACATCCACGAACCCCAGGGACAGGACGTAACAGTGACTAGTAAATTGTACACTTTTATATATATATATATATATATATATATGTCTGCAAGTTCAGTGGATTTGTACTTGTAAACCTCTTTCATCTTTGGAAATTAAATGTTCATTGTCCAGGGAGTCAGGATGCTGCTGCTGTACGATAATAATGATAATCAGAAGAACAACAACATTTTTGTGACATGTAGTATGTGTTTCTCGCATTTTTCTAAGGAGTTTAAATGGATTATCTCATTTAATCTTCACAACTCAATAAAGTTGATACTACTATTATAATCACTATCCGGGCGGGGAAAATGAGTCACTGAGAGACTGTGGGATTACGGATCTGGTGCCTTCTGTGAAATAATAAAGGACTGGGTCCTTCCACTAGAGCTCTGATAACTACCCTTTCCCTTTTGGTCACCTGAGACTTGGAGAGACATCACTTTTTAAGTGGTTGCTTTTTTTTTTTTTTTTTTTTTTTGAAGTTCTTATTAGAAGAGGCACAGGAATGTTGAAGAGCTGCTTCAAAGGTGGAAGATAGAACATTCCATGCCTATCCCCACCAGCTGCCACTATCTAAGAATAGCCTAGTTCAGGCCGGGTGCAGTGGCTCACACCTGTAATCCCAGCACTTTGGGAGGCCGAGGCAGGTGAATCATGAGGTCAGGCATCCGGGACCAGCCTAGTGAACATAGTGAAACCCTGTCTTCACTAAAAATACAAAAAATTAGCCTGGTGTGGTGGCAGGTGCCTGTAATCCCAGTTACTTGGGAGGCTGAGGCAGAGAATCGCTTGAACCTGGGAGGCAAAGGTTGCAGTGAGCTGAGATCATGCCACTGCACTCCAGCTGAGGGGACAGTGTGAGACTGAGTCTCAGAAAACAAAAAACAAAACAAAACAAAAAAGAATAGCTTAGTTTATGCCTCATCTCGTTCTCAAAAGTTTGGACCTTCTCGGGGGTGTGACTTGCTCACCAGGAAATGGGCTGCAGGTATTACCTGGTGTTAACCTTCCTTGATCCAAGACCATATAATATTTGAAAGTGTGAGTACAGATTATCTAGTGTGTATGCTCAAAAACTAGGCCAGAAACATGAAAGGAATCATTGAGCGTGTTGATCATTCTGAGATAGTGCTAAAAACTGAAATGTGTCTGTGGAAGGGGATAAAAATCTAAAGTTTACCCTTCTAGGTATATTTTACCTACACATAACTTTAAATACTGAATGCCTCCTGTAAACATGTTCCAATTTGCTCTAGCATAATTTTAAATAAAACCTCCTTAGTTGTCTCATTCAAGTTCTCTAAGGTTACTGTTTTGCCATATAAAATTTCCCATATACCTTACATTATATTTGCTTGTGATGGTAAAAAAGTAGGTATCAGCTTCAGTAGAGCCTTTGTCAAACATCCAAGCCATGAGAGGTGCTAGGCTTATGGATTCACAGACAGAACTTAAGGGATCTTTGAAGTCATCTCGTTTCACCTTATAGTTGTGAAAACTGAAGACCCAGAGAAATGAAATAACCTCCCCATTGAAGCCAGAGCCTTTGGTGAGTGAGCCAGGTAGAACCCAGTACTCTTGTCTCTAGTTGAGAGCTTTTTCTACCATGCCAAGACACATACAGTCTTTTCTATTTTTAGTTCATTAAAAAAGAAAATTATTTTATCAATGAAAATATATTACAATTTTTCTGTGTTACAGATCAGTATTTAATTCTGTGCAAATATGGATAGTGAATAGATCGATACATATTTAAGAGTGTATGTTCTATGTAAGCAAATTGTTTCTCTTTCTCTGAAATGTCTGTCTGCTGTGTCTCAAAATATTTCCCTGAAGCTATTTCTTTTCTCTATATAGGCTCCACTCTATCTTGGCTTATTACTTGTGCCATTTTCTTTCGACTTAGTTTATTTTTCTCAAACTGATTCCACATGTTACTTTCAATCACAGCATCTCAAGACTTTGGACGAACAGCCCTGAAGCATTTTGCTTCTTTGGTATTCTAAAGGGAATTTAGTCTGAGTGTACAGAGCTATTAGAGCTGAGCTGCTGAATGCTTTATCTTAGTGGGTTTTTTTTGCCTGTTTTTCTATAAGCCAGTTGATATTTTAAAAAGAAATACAAAAACTTGTTTTATTCTTTGTCTATGAATGCAGACTTTTATAAGCTTATCTTGAAATAAAATTCATCAAATGAAGAGGAATCAATCTGAGCTTTCCCATTTGAACATTCTGGTAAACTGTTTAACAAAATGAGCTAGAACTTAGCTATAACATGAAGAGAATGGGACTTTGGGAGGTGAATATACAAGCTAGTTATCAAACATCTCTTATGTAGGCTAGCAAATCCTGCCTTAATTACCTTATGATACATATGACTTTGATATCACTTTTTTCAGAATCAAATTTATCGGTCCTGGACAACAGGAGTAATGATATTGGTAACATCTGTTGATACGAGATATTGGTGCCATCTATTTTCTTTACTCTTCCTTAAAGATCCTTATTTTACTTACTTTAAAAACGGTAATAATTAACATTAGGAATAACTTTGAAAACTGCCACAAATCCTTTTAGAAGTTAGTACTATATAAAGCCTATGAACATAAAAATTGATAAATGACAACAATTAAATATGATAAAATAAATTTATGACCTCACTAGCTCTTTCTCTAGCTAGACAGTGGATTTTTCTTCTGATTATCATCCAAAGATCTCATTATATTTTTTAAATTACTGGCTATCCTAACTGTATAGTGCAGAAAACCAGGAGCTACTGGAGCTGTGTTAATCTGCACCTCTTTCCTAAGGCAGTTTAATTATGAAAAATACAGCTGAAAGACTGTTTTCTTAAGCTTTGACTCGAGAGCATGACTTTAGTAGGTTCTAGTGTCCTAGATCTCACAAGTTGTCAAAGTATCTGAATGTTTTTGAATGCAGCTATACACAATGAATTGAATCCCCAGAAGAAATCTAGGAACATCAGTGACATGGTTTGGATTTGTGTTCCTGCCCAAATCTCAAGTCGATTTGTAATCCTCAGTGTTGGAAGTGGGGCCTGGTGGGAGGTGATTGGATCGTGGGGGTGGATTTCTCCCTTTGCTGCTGTTCTTGTGATAGAGGTGTCAAGAGATCCGGGTGTTTAAAGGTGTGTAGCACCTCCCCTTTCTCTCTTTTCCTCCTGCTCTCCCTTTCCTTCCACCGTGATTGTAAGTTTCCTGAGACCTCCCCAGCTATGCTTCCTGTACAGCCTGTGGAACCATGACCCAATTAAACCTCTTTTCTTTATAAATTACCCAGTATTAGGTATTTTTTATAGCAGTGTAATACCGGACTAATACCCTCAGTTTTATTCCTATTAGTGCATTGCTGATTTCAAACTTAGATGTTTCAAATTTCAACTCTTTTATTTACAATTATTCGTTTAGTAACTCATTTGGTAACTTAAGTCGTTTCTTAAAATTAAGTCGAAATGTAGGGTGAATGTGTAAATCTCTCGCTTCACTGTAGTGTTTTGATCAATTATGATGGATGAAAATAATAGTGCCTGCCAGCTTTAGGAGGCTGTGTCATCAGCTATCAATAGCAGGTGATAAAAGAGTATGCTGGGAGTGGGGAATTACTTTCATTATTATTTTCTGTTTCTTTTTCTTAGAAAGTGTTTATTGTATCTTTTGTAATATTACATTTTGACCTAGACCATTTACTGTGGAAATAGAAAAGTTAATTTCAACTACAGCTTTTTATTTTAGTTCTACCCGAATCATCAGAGTAGTTAAAACACAGACACACACACAGACAAACACACAGACACAAGCACATACAATGGTAAGTATTATGCTTGAAAGGAAAAGATAAGATCCTCCATTTTCTACTGAAAATGACAATAAAGAAGGGAAGGAAGGAAGCAGGCAGAGGGAGAGCAGGAGGGAGGGAGAGAAGGGAAGGAGGAAAGAAGGGAGGGAAGAAGGGAGGGAGGTAGGGAGGTAGGGAGGAAGGAAAGAAGGAAGGAAGGAAGGAAGGAAAGAAGGAATACATCAAGTGAAATTACTTTGAGAATCATTTTTCTTTTTTTCATTTCTTCTTTTATGTAGAATATTAAATTATAATTGCATGGTCTTATTAATCTCTGTCATTCCTTACTTTTCCTTTCAATTTTAATTCTGAAAAGAAGAGCTAGGTAAAGTATGTAATCATTGGGATTCCACTTCATTACCATATGCAATCACTATATTCTGTCTCAGTAGATATTCCATTGATTTACTTGCATTACAGAGTGGGTTTTAAAGTTACTTAGAATCTGCATTTCTAATATCTTAATTAATTCACCAAATTGCAATCTTCCATAATGCTCATGACCATTCACGAGAAATAAATGATAAGTAAAGAGTTGAAACGTTAAAGTTACTTCAAGGATTTCTTAGGTTCTTTTTCAGGCCAAAGCATTTATAGCATAGTAAAGAGAAAAGCGAACATAAAACAAGATCTTGGTACTTTCATGTAATGACCTAATTTATACCTTTGAACAATTCTATAGCATAGACTCCATCAGTCCCATTATTTTAGGATGGGAAGACAGAATCTGAGAGAAACTTTTAGAAAACTGAAGCCCAGGGTCACACAAGTACAATAGTCAAAGTCTAGTCCCACACCTTTATGACCTGAAACCATGAATTAAAATTGTATGTCTTCTTGATGGATTGACAGTTTTATCAAGACAATCCCTTTCTGTCTCTGGTAATTTTCATTGGTCTGAAGTCTACTTTATGTGGTATTAATGTAGCCACTCTAGCTACTAATGTAGCCTCTCTAGATTTCTTTTGATTGGTGTTTGTATGACACATCTTTACTTTCATACTACCTCTATCAATAAAATTAAAGTTAGTTTCTCATAGACACTGTATTGATGAGTCATTTTTTTTAAATTTACTCTACCAATCTCTGTCCTTTAACTGGTATATTTAGAACATTTACACTTAATAAAATTATTGGTAATTTGTTAAGGCTCAACTCTGCCATTTTAATATTTGTTTTCTGTTTGTTTTCCTTTATTGTTGTTTATCTGCTTCCCCTTTCTGCTTTCCTGTGAGTGATTTGAACATTTTTAGTGTTCCATTTTGCTCTACCTATAGTGTTTCTGAGAATATCTTTTTGTATATTTTTAGTGGTTACTCTAGAGATGATGCAATACATCTGAAACTTATCAAAGTCTACTAATATCAATATTTTGGCACTTCAAATGAAATGTATGACTCTTACTGTCATTTAAGATGTTTTAGCCATCTCACATTGTCCTAAATGTCTTCTTTACATACATTGAGAACTACATTACAATATATAATTTTGCTTTCAATTATCAGATTTAATTTTAAAAAATCATGAGAAAATGAGTAGTGTATTTTACCCATAGATTTTCCTGCTCTATTGTTCTTCCTTTGCACTGATGTTCCAAGTTCCTTTTGTTGTAATTTTCTCTCTCTGAAGAACTTCCTTTAACAGTTCTTTTAATCAGGTCACTAAGTCGTTTCTTCCATCTTGAGGTCCCTAGAAACTCTGTCTTCTCCGTCTCTACCTTTTGGAATCTTCTGCTGCTTGGTTCATTTGATTTATCCAAGGTTTTAGGTATGATAAGAGGGTGGACTAAGGCAAAATATGCTTGCCCCATCCTTCTGGAACTGGAAGTCCTCCCTATACTTTTAAAAATTTATTCATGTTAAACCAAAAAAAAAGAAGAAGAAGAAGAAGAAGAAAAAAAACAGCTGCTGTAGCCTCTGCAACTTGCTGAGAGCTTGTTTAGGAATAGAGAGCTTATTTTTCCCTTCCCTCTATCTCAGCTCAAGCCTAACAGCCAGGTGGTGCTTTCATGTGTACCTCTCTTGCATCCTAGAAAGTACAAAGTACATCTGACTTGGAAATGCTCTGTGGGTAAGAATGTGAGCCGCATCAACGTAGATAAAATATTTACGGGGAAATTATGTGGAGGGAGTTGTGTTTTGTTTTGTTTTTTTTTTTTAATGGAGTCTCACTCTGTCACCTAGGCTGGAGTACAGTGACAGGATCATGGCTCATGACAGGATCATGGCTCACTGCAACTTCTGCCTCCAGATTCAAGCAATTCTCCTGCCTCAGCCTCCTGAGTAGCTGGGATTACAGGGGCACCTCACCACGCCTGGCTCATTTTTGTATTTTTTTTAGTAGAGATGGGGTTTCGCCACGTTGGCCAAACTGGTCTTGAACTCCTGACCTCAGGTGATCCGCCCACCTTAGCCTCCAAAAGTGCTGGAATTACAGGTGTGAGCCATCGTGCCCAACCTGGAAGGGGACTTTTTTTCTTTTTTCAAAATACATATGGATACATAAGCAATCAAAGTCTCAAAAATACTCAAATAAAAATTACAATGGTAATGGTAGCCAACAATTATTTATAGGCACTATGCTAAGCTATGTACTATATAAAACAATTGTCACACTTTAGGAAATGATTATTTATTATTATTATTATCACCATTTAACATACCAAGCAACTCAAGTCCAGAGACAAATCTCACTGAGCTACACAGTGGTAGAGCTGCAGTGAACTCAAACTTTTCCCCATAGATCTGTGGATTAGAAATAAATATGTACAATACCTGGCACCTATTCAGTGCTTGAAAACTGGAGTAATCGTCATAGTTATAATTTTCTGTAATTTAAATAATCATGTCATCCAGGTATACTCATGATTTCCCAACATTGAGTCTCTAGAGCAAAATTCCATGTGTATGCAGAGCAGAGATTTTTGTAGCAACAGTGGTTAAATATAACTTTTTAGTCATTCAAAAAGAGGGATGATTAAAAATAATGAAAGTATTATGAAAAGAGTTTGAAGACCATTCTTTATAAAAGGCTCACTGGTAGGTGTGGCTTTTGACTGATTTTCATCATCTAAGTTGGAAAGTCACTATTGACAATATCTCAACTCTTCTAGAAAATTGTGAAGTTTATTTAGTCAGGGCTTTTCTTGAGTCTGACTCTTGCTTTATGTTGCTAAGAGTGTCATAAGCATTGAGTCTGGCAGTGCGGTGTGAGAAAGAACATTTTCATGGTGACTTGAGCATTGCTCCAAGGCTGGGCACAGAGGCAGGATAGAACTGTGTTCAATTTTTTGGTACTGCTATAACAACATTAAGGATATTTTATGTTCTTGGTGGGCTACAGTTCGCTTTAAGCTCAGCCAGGCTACCTTATAAACAAAAATATATTTTCCATGATACTTCAAATCCATCCTGAAATTGAGCATCAAAAGTATCACAAAAACTTAAAGCATGCTTCATACTCTTCAAATTCTATGACTTTCCTTTGAATTGTGGACATAAATTCTCATAAATGGTTTTGAAATTCTTGAAAATATCTGATTCAGTTCAGCCTCAATCCTTTTCAGCAATGAAAGGGAATGCAGTTTCTGGATTTTAAGCACATATGTTCAGTCTGAATTTCAATAACTGTCCTTTTAAGTTTAGGCTGTTTGTATTTTCTCACATTAGTAAGAAAGGGATTCAGACAATATGGGTCTCTTAGAGACCTTTAATTCTCCAAAAGTCCATGATATGTGTCAATAGCTGAGTAAACTTTTTAGTGGGTATTTAAAACCTACTCATCTGAATGCATTACGATAAAATAAATTAAATGCCTATATTCTGCTTCAGCTGCCTGTGAATAACTCATAAACTGGGGGACTGGACAACAAAGAAAACACACAATCATGATCAGTTTTTCCTCATGTTAAGGCAGTGAACCTATTTGCAAAGTTCACAGCACACACTCTCCTGGTGAGTTATGCCAAAAGAACCCACTGTATTTCTCCTCGGGTTTGAATGAACTACTGGAATATTTTTACCCTTTCTATGCTGGTGTCCCATCACTGCATTCAGCAGTTTTGGACTGAGATCTAAGTTCCCACACTCCATTTCAGCCATTGGATAATTTGTGTATGGTAGCCCTATAGATACTATCTTCTTGCCAGAAGAGCTGAGCAGGTCAGATATCCTAGTTTAGATGAGTTACCCCAGGCATGCCAATTTCATCTAGTCCTCCACTGTTTGAGAGAGACCAAGAGATCTGTGGTTTAAGATGTGTAGCTGGTTCATGAAAGAGTCAGGAAATTCCACCCATTCTTTTCAAAAGAATGTAATTAACCTGGGTTGCAGTAGTTGAGAAAATGCTTTGCAAAGCAGGTGGAGCTTCCTATAAGCCTAAGTGACGAGAAGAACAGGGCAGGTAGAGTTCAAAGTCAGTCCATTCTCTACATTAAGGGAAGCTGTGAAAGGAAGGCCTTGGAAACATTGAAAAGCACATAGGGGCATGGAGGATCATGAGCTGACCGATCTTTTCTGACATCAAGTACATTAAACACAAGTTGAGCAAATCGATGCAACTATTTTGTAATGAAATAAAGTGTTCAACTATGATGTATTTTAAAACAACAAAAATAGAAGCTTGGTCTGGCCTCTAACTTTGGATTTGGGAGGCTTAGAAATTGTGTGAGAGAACATATTAAAGAAAAGTAAAATATTAACACAGGCAGTACTTTCCCATACTTTAATATCGAGACTCTTGACGAACATAAGTAGCTTGATTATGGAAGATTTTCTTACCTCAAACAACAAATAAACTTTCTTAAAAGGACATGGATGAGAATGGCTTCCCTTTCGGTATCAAGTAATAGATTGCTAAGCATTTCTCAATCGTTAAGAAGTTATTTCATCATGTATGGAGTGCAAGTTGAGTTGCAGGGCATATAAGCATGACTGTATTAAGTATAAATCTGCATTCCTGCATCTGAGGATCCTGTGAGGTCTGTCTCCCAGGAAACAATCTGGATAGTTAATGACACATGGGATGGGTCAGGGCAGATTGTGAGAAGCGCAGTGTTGATTATGTAAACTTGGATTTTGTACAATTGTAAATATAGGGTATTTCCTGTATTGCACTGTGGCTATAAACTAGGGAGAAATGTAAATACAGGGTCTAACTCTGTAAATAGCGTCTGATTATTCCTAATAGTGTGCTCTTTGAAAACTGCTTTTCAATTAATACAGTATGTCATATTCTTATCCAAAAGGGTGAAAATAAAAATCCATCTTATAAACACTTTGGTTTTAATCGATATTAGGTGTGCTTTTACAGTGTTGTTCTTATTTTGGTTTGCACAAAAACCTTATTAAAAAAGGACATTATCTTGCATGTAGGCACTTGCTAACAGGAATGCAGCTTGCTGCCAGAGAATATTCTAAACTGCCAAGCTTGTTGGGAGCCTGCTGTAAAAATATCTGCAGCTTGGAAGAATTGGAGATGGCTAATAACAGTGACTATAATTAATAGTTAATTGTTTTAAGGAAAGAAATTAACAAATTGAGCTGATAGTCTACCCAGTTAAAAAACAAGAAGCAAAATGAATTCAGAGAAAGACAGCAATATGTATTGTCCTCACAGTTATTTCTTATGGACATGTTTGGTATTATATAATACATTTTCTTTTTGATATATACCTGCAGCTGATAGTGGTAATTCTTGGCCCATCAGACCTTTGGTTTATTTTGCCTTTCTCTTGTGCCTTTTATTATTAAATCTTGCCCTTTGGTCATGGTGTGTTCAAACTCTATCTAGACGATTCCATTCTAGACACAACACAACAAGGTGATTGTAAAAGTTACTATGTTTAGTCTGCAGAAGAAAATGCTAGGCGAACACTAGGTGTGAACTACCTTCTAGTGTGTGAAAGGCTGTTTGAAAAGTCAGACATTTATGATACTGCAGAGTTGTTGATTTAGGAGGAATGGAGTAGAAAAGAAAACAAATGACAACTTTACCCACCCCCAAACACACACTCAAGTAATTTTATAACAACAACATTCTCACACAGCAGTCAGTGGCTGGAGGTGGTATTTGCTATCACTTTACCACTTTTAGATGGGGCAATATATCTTGTTGCCTCTGCCCCTGCTAATTCCCAACCGTGAGGCCAAGCTCCTGTGGCTGTCATGGTTGCGTGTGATACGGCAGTGCTGGGAAGGGAAGAGCATGGTCCCTTTAAATGATACATAACGGGTGGTGGGGTAGGGGGAAAGGAACTGCTGAGCAGAGGAGGGTGTGGTCCCTGGCTAGGGCTCCACCCCCACAGACCTAGGTGAGGACAGGCATTTCCTCCCTAAATGTTGCATTTCCCAAGACCAACCTGGCCTGCCACACCCCCATCCTGTGCCTATAAAAACCCCAGAGACCATAGCAGGCAGACACAAAGATGGCTGGACATCCAGAGGAGCATGTGTTCCTCCACTGAGGATGGATGGTGGCTGGATGTCAAGAGGAATGCACAGGCATATGTGGCATGCCACCAGGCCATGAACTGGTGGAAGGAGGGGGAGTTTGGCTGGGGCAGTCAGAGGAGAGGCCAGGCCACTGAGTGGCCCTACTCCAGGGGAAAACCCTCCCACTCCATTCCCCCTTTTGGCTGCCCCCATCTGCTCAGAGCTACCTCCACTCAAACAATCCTCCCACCTCAGCCTCCAAAGTAGCTGAGACCACAGGCATGCACCATCACACCTAGATAATTTTTGTATTTTTTGTAGAGACAGGGTTTCGCCTTGTTGCCCAGGCTGTTTTTGAACTCCTGGCCTCAAGCAACCTGCTGGCCTAATCCTCCCTAAGTGCTGAGATTATAGGCATGAGCTACCATGCCCAGCCTTTATTCTGTTTAAGTGAACATTTAAATTAACTTCAGTTTGTATGATTTTTATTATTTTTATTACTTTATTTTATTTTATTTTTTATAGAGAGAGGGTCTAGCTCTGTTTCCCAGGCTGGAGTTCAGTGGCATGATCATAGCTCACTGAAGCCTTGAACTCCTGGGCTCAAACAGTCTTCCCACCTCAGCCTCCCAAGCAGCTAGGACTATAGGTGTGCACCACCATGTCTGGCTTTCTTTTTCTTTTCTTCTTCTTTTTTTTTTTTTTTTGTCGCCCAGGGTGGCCTCAAACTTCTGACATCAAGTGATCCTCCCACTTTGGCCTCCCAAAACACTGGGCATATGAATTTTAAAAGCAGGACTTTGGTTTCATAATTTTAAAAGTATCACTTAGAATGTGACCTACAAAATCATCTTGATTTTTATGTGTTAAATTTGAGAAAGTATGTTCACAGGACATCAATAAGAGACAATTAATCAAAAGCATAGAGGATATATGATTTTGTAGATGTTTCAGAGGGACAGTTTCATCCCTGTTGGCCGTCTTCCTCGTAACTAATAATGAGAACCTCCCTTCTTCTGGAAAGCTATGACATTCACTTAGGGATTTGGCAAGTATTCTAAGAAGACTTGATTCTTGCTTTCACAGAGCACAGACTCTCAGATGATTAACTGACTTAGACCATGCATCATTACGTAACCAGACAAAAACAAAGCATGCTAAGTTAATTTTACTCTTAGCTGCATTTTTCCCCATCGAAAACTCTGTTATGATTACAATTTCCCTCTTCCTTAAGGTTGCAGCTTTAGCTTTCATGGAGCCAGTGAGGCTACACAGGGCTACAGGACAATTGTGTTGTGTGGTCTGTGCTCTGCACATAGGCCCTGGCCTAGTGAGGCAAGGGGCTGAAATAGAGCCTGCATTCCATGTGCCAAGCCCAGTGTATTAGGGCCAGTTGGGACAACTGTGTCTATCTTTTTTTTAATTGTTCAATTTTTTTTAATTTTTTTATTTTTTTGAGACAGCGTCTCACTCTGTCTCAGTCTGGAATGCAGTGGCATGATCTTGGCTCATTGTAACCTCCGTCTCCCGAGTTCAAGTGATTCTCCTGACTCAGCCTCCCGAGTAGGTGGGACTAACAGTCATGCACCACCATGCCCGACTAATTTTTGTATTTTTAGTAGAGACGAGGTTTCACCTTGTTGGCAAGGCTGGTCTCGAACTCCTGACCTCAAGTGATCTGCCTGCCGCAGCCTCCCAAAGTGCTGGGATTACAGGCGTGAGCCACCGTTCTCAGCCAGGACAACTGTGTCTAAATGTTTTACCCAGAGGACACCCAATTCTGATGTCCACAGAAATGCTCTACAGGCTGGCAGAGGCTCTGGAGCTAGACATATGCCTCTGCCTACCCATTGTGAATTGAGAGATAGTGTTCCAGTGTGGTTAAAAGCTTATCGTAACTTGTACTTTATGGGGCTGTCCCTGGAGGGTAGGGTTATGTGTGTGTGTTGGTGTAGAGAGGCAGTGAGACACACATCAGTGAAAGCTTTGTTTACTTGCTATTTTTTTAAAGCACAGGTTCTGGGATCAGGAGGAAGGAGATGGTGTTGGAGGTGAGGCTTCCTTCTATGAGTCATGATTCCACTTACTTGACTTTAGCCTTTTGGAGTGTCCCTGGGGTTGGGTTTGTTGGAGGCTTCATTTGTGACCAGTACTGTGTGTGTTTTCACTCAGTACAGTTTTGAATAGATGCTACCACATTTACTTTACGGCTTAGTTGTATGGAACTCAAGAAGAAGGGATAAACGCTTGTCACCTTGGAGAGTATATATGAGACTCAGCTTAGTGATTTCAGTGGCAAAATCCAGCTCAGTGTTTCAAAAACTAAAACATGTTTTGAAAGCTTATAAAGTTGGTCTCCAGTGCCAGAAATTCCCATTTTGGACTGGCTTCAAGGCAATGAAAGCTCAGACACTGACTCATTGAACTATTTCCTTATTAATAACATAGTACCAAGCATTTTTGAGGGTTGAAAAAATAACTGAACTGTTGTCCAAAACCTTTGAGCCTCTCAAATGCAAAGCTTTTTAAAATTCTTAATTTTGAGACTTTTGTGATTTCAAAGGAAATCTGATCTATCTATCTCTTTATATGTTGTTTATTCTTAACTCATCCAAGTGCTATTTGGCCAAGATTGGCTTATGTTTAAAAAAAAAATCTCTTAAGTCATTTTATAAGCTGTTCAGGGCTTTATTTCTTTAGACCAGGAAGTTGTAAATTGCCAGCATTAAGCAGAAGGTGTGTTGTTGAGTGCTAGTTTTATTGAAAAAGAATGAGGTTTTATGTATTTTTGAGATTTGCTTTATTGACAATCCACCCCAAAATATCATTTCTCTTAGATATACTGTTAGAAAAGTCTCGCCTGAAGAAAAACAAAACAAAAACAAAGAACAACAACAAAAGACATAAAGTATTGCCTAGTTAGAACAATGACAATCCAAATTATTTTGATGAAACATAAGCACATTTAGAATTAACACAGGGTTTATCAAAGAGTTATGTAAGAGTAAAAATCAAAGGATTTATATAATTTTTATTCATGCTAATAAAATGTCATTCTGAGGGCTTGGCATTGTTATACATATTTATTAAACTGAATACTTTTCATTTGATATGGGCAGAAAAAATTGCTTTATCCAATTGCTACACTGAGGCAATTAAGGATAATTTAAAAAATTCAAGACAGTCAATAGAAAATGAGGGAGAAAAAGGAACTAACAAGTCTTATCTTTGATTTCATGTGAAAAGATTGATTTGGTTTTTCTAGCAAAAACAGGGATATAAATCCTGCCCAAATTTTGTATAAAATAAAGTTAATAATCTATAACTGATTCCCTCCATTACTATTTATCAGTATATAATTTGGCCAGTCAGTGGCTCATGCCTGTAATCCCAGCACTTTGGGAGGCCAAGGCTGGTGGATTGCTTGAGCCCACGAGTTCAAGACCAGCTTGGGCATCATAGCGAGACCCTGTGGCTACAAAAAAATACAAAAATTAGCTTCATTTGGAGTGCATGCCTGTAGTCCCCACTCCTTGGGAGGCTGAAGGGGAAGGATTGCTTGAGCTGGGAGGTGGAGGTTGCAGTGAGCCATGATCTTCACTCCAGCTTGGGCAGCAGAATGAGACTCTGTGTCTGTACAGTTCCCGGAAGTCCCAACCGGCCAGCATTTACCCAACCTCTCCTCCCAAATAAAAAACTTTCTTATAAAAGCCTCAGCTTGTAAGCAATCAGGGTCTCAGTCAGACTCCTGACTGGGACCCCTCACGGGCTTATTCCTGTGAATTAACCTGTTTGGCCATTGAGTTGCCTCCCATCTCTCACTCTCTTCCTTTACGTTTTCCTAACATTTGGTGCCAAAACCTGGGACCAGGCTCTAGGCTTCTTGGCAGAGAGGTTGTCTCTCGCAGCCTCCCATTCCCAACCCCCTCTACCACCCTTCTTTGCACCTTCACAGCCCACTCTCCTTTATATATATACCCCGTGTGTTATGTATATAATTTACCGATTTCCTTTGAATTTTATGTACGGCTAGCAATTACATTGACATTTCTGATGAGCGAAGGCCTTGATTCCTTGGCAAGGTTATATAATAGTGGCCAATAAATGTCCTTATGTATTCACAGATGAAAACATTGAAACCTAAATGGAAAACAATCTTTCCCAGCCACAACATGAGTAGTGTGGTTCCAGATAGAGTTAAAAAATAGATATAAAATCCCCAGATCTGTATTTAACTCTTAGGCAGTCTGTGTAAATCATTTGGAGGAGATCTGAAAAGATGACAGATACCTTGTGTCCATGTTTCTTCGTCTCTAGTAAGTAACAGGTTTTGGTAAAGACATTCAACTTCTTGATGGTGCAGTTTCCACATTTATAAAATAGATATTGGTGTCTGTGTGTTCACCTGTAATAAAGGTGACAGGTTAGTGCTAGAAAAATGTACTTCACTCCCCAGATGGAAAATGGAATTTCCTGGTGCCCATTTTATTACCATCTATAGAGATCATAATGGCCTGTCCCACATCTCAATGAAGTTGTATTTCTTATCGGTTACCTCGCCATGCTTTTTGGGAGGTTGACAGTAAATGGATTCAAAATTGGGGTGAAGTTAAAGGTCTGCAAACTGTGACTGTATAGAATATAAATTTGTGAACCTGCTTGAGACAGCACAGTTAACCCACTTAAGTTCCAGCCGTGACACCAGTGAACTGTATTTAACATCAAAGTGCCGGAGAAGGTCACCTAGGTCCTGCAGGAAAGTCCGTCGAACTTATTGCAGCTCAGCTGGAACCAGGAGGCAGCAGAAGGCATGGAGAGCCTGCATGGCCTCTGCACACCAGTGAATTTATCACCTGGCATGCACTGTAGCAGCCAAGCAATTCTGCTGTAAGTGGGCCTTGTGTGGACAGTTTTGAAAGACATATGACAGACCTGAGAATAGTCAGGAGGGAGTTGAGCAATCCCTCATTTCAGAATAGTTAATGACAGAAGAGCATGGAGAGGCTTTTGATCTGCTTTTTAAAAATTTATGTTTTTAGCAATTAACATTTGCATTCATATCTTTGAAAATAAGGCCACTATCTGATTATGTATTTAATCATTAAGTTTTGTGCTGATTGAATCACTTTCTCAAGAATCTCAGATGGAAAATAAAATGGGCAAATGCAGAATTCCTTTCCATTTTTTCCTATTGTTCTCATATTGTGGGGAGACATTGGTTGTGAGAGTAGACTCAAACATGGGCTTTGCACAGACTTTGAGTAAGGGACTGCTATGGGGTGACAGAGAGTAGTTGAAGTCACAGAGTGATGAGTTGACTTTTCTGTTTAGAATCTGCCCATGCCAAGGCGGGCTTTTATCAGCCTCTGTAGGACAATACTTAGGTGAGGAATAGCATTCACCGAGTTGAGGTTACCTGCTGTTTTCCACACAGTAATCTGAGAATGCGTGCAGTCTGATGAGCTTTTCTCAGTTGCTGTTTTGTACCGGGGTTGATCGTCTAAACTCTATGCTCATTATATTGATCCGCTGGCATTAGAGAGCTCCCACATATGAACGCTCAATGTATCCACATGGAGGCATTAGGCAGCAACCTCGGGGAGCTGAAGTTGACATTTTTCTTTATTTTTTAAATATAGGACAAATAGGAGTAAACAAAAAATTTGGAGAGTAAAAGAGGTGACACAAAATACAGTTCTACCTGGTCTGGTTTAACTAGAAATGAATTTAGAGAAGCAGAATTGCCAGTTACTCACACAGCAATCTCTGCCTGTTATGAATCTGTGACTTTCTATCATCCCATGGTATAAAATAAAGGCAAGAAATAATGACTTTTATTCATGCTTGGCCAATGATCCAGGTGAGATTACATCCTCATTGGAATGGACAGGGCCTCTGTTGCAGCTTAGTTTTATGGAAATTACAGTTCTGCCATAGGGTGGGTGGCAGGTGTTTATTGTTTGCAGTATTGCAGTATTATATTGTCAGAAAATCACCTAAAGGAGTAGAAGAGAAAGGGCTGATTTGCTTAATAGAGGCGTCAGCAGGCGGAAATTCACGGGCTTGCTGCACTATGTTCATCTTGCCTGAGAAATGTAATAGCCAGTTATCGGAAAGGGCTGATTGAATCACTTTCTCAAGAATCTCAGGTGGAAAAAAAAATGGCCAAATGCAGAATTCCTTTCCATTTTTTCCCATTGTTCTCATATTGTGGGGAGACATTGGCTGTGAGAGTAGACTCAGTGTCAGTTTTGTTAAAAGCATGCACTTCCCCCAGTTTCAACGGTGCCTTGGAGAAATGTATAGAAGACTTCACTGTGAAATGAGAAAGCACGTAGTTTCAGTTACTGAAATAAGACACTCTATGTGGTGTAGCAATGAGATGGGATAATTATTTGAGTATCTGTAAAGACCAATGAGAGCCCTTGACATTTTGATCATTGCATCTTTTATTAAGATAGACTTTAGAAGTTCACAGGTAGCTCCTAACCTAGGAGTTTTCCTCAATGTGAATCATGATTGTTGTCCTAAGTCTTTCTGTCTCTTTCCTCATCTTCATTTCTAATGTTTGAGCCCCAGAGTCATCAGCCTCCCTTCTTGCTGACCTTATCCATCTGCTCTCTGATTTACTATGGTGTCGTTGTTGCTGACAAAATTGACTTATTCATTCAGTCATTTATTTATTCAGTAGTCATTCAGTTTGTTTGGAGTGGCTAAAACATTCAAGGTGCTCTGTTAGAATTCTGGGAATAAAAAGATTGGGCAGAAAAATCAACCCCACCTTGTGAAAGTAACACACAAGACACTGAACTGCAGTAAAACAGGGTAGGTTATGAGTCACGGGCATTGGGAGCACAGGAGAGGGAGTGACAACACCTAGGAGATCCCGGAGGAAGCTGACATTTCACTTGGACTCTGAAGGATAAGATTATTTTTTCTTATGAATTAGGAATGAAGGAAATCCAGGTAGAGAGACAAATTTATAAAAGCAAGGAATTGGCTGGGCGCGGTGGCTCATGCCTGTAATCCCAGCACTTTTGGAGGCCAAGTCAGGCGGATCAAGAAGTCAAGAGATGGAGACCATCCTGGCCAACATGGTGAAACCCCGTCTCTACTAAAAAAATACAAAAATTAGCTGGGCGTGGTGGCGCATGGCTATAGTCCCAGCTACTCGGGAGGCTGAGGCAGGAGAATCGCTTGAACCTGAGAGGTGGAGGGTGCAGTGAGCCGAGATTGCCCACTGCACGCCAGCCTGGGTGACAGAGTGAGACTCCATCTCAAGGAAAAAAAGCAAAAAAAAAAAAAAAAAAAAAAAAAGCAAGGAATCATGGGTGGGTATAATATCCTCCTTGAAAAATGAGAAGTTCAATGTCACTAACTTCTTTTATATACATTTTTTATTTCAATAGCTTTAGGGGTACAAGTGGTTTTTGGTTTCACAGATTAATCGTACAGTGGTAAAGTGCACCTGTCAAGTGGAGTAGTGTAAATTGTACCCAATAGGTAGTTTTTCATCCCTCACCTCCCCTACCTTCCTCCATTCTGAGTCTCCAGGTCCATGATATCACTCTGTATGCTTTTGTGCACCCATAGCTTAGCTCCCATTTATGAGAAGATGCAATATTGGGTTTTCAGTTTCTAAGTTAGTTCATTTAGAACAATGGCCTCCAGTTCCATCCAACTTGCTGCAAAAGACATTATTTCTATCCTTTTTATGGCTGAATAGTATTCCATAGTGTATATATATGACATATTCTTTGTCCACTCATTGGTTGATGGGCACTTAGGTTGATTCCATATCTTTGCAATTGTGAATTGTGCTGCAATAAACATACATGTGCCAGTGTCTTTATGATATAGTGACTTCTTTTCCAATGCCACCAAATCTTAAGTTTGTAGTAGGTTGTGAAAGACTTTAGGTCTGGGGGAGAAAGTTGGGACAAACTAATGATGGACACAATATACCATTTTATGAGTTTTTAGCTTTAGATACTAGGGTAAATTGAGTGCCTTCATTTAATTAAGGCTTTTACAAATATACCTTTTTGTAGTGCAAATAATCTGTGTTTATTGCAAAATTTGGAAAAATGGGTAAGTAAGCAGAATAAATTAAGAGACCTATATCCTTTTAATAATATGGGGGCACTTGGGAGACCATCCCGTGATGAAGTGTGCCAGAGATCCAGGCCACCCCTTGGCGGGGCTTAATTCTCAGGACCTTGCTGCATTTGAGAGAAAGGAGAGTAGACTGGAGTTTCACTAATTTTATCGTAGAGATCTTGTCTGTGCTAGATTGAGAGTCTTCGGTGATGGAAGGGAAGATAGGACTTTTTTTTTTTTTTTTTTTTTTTGAAACAGAGACTTGCTCTGTTGCTCAGGCTGGAGTACAGTGGCCCAATCTTGGCTCACTGTAACCTCGGCCTCCTGGGTTCAAGTGATTCTATTGCCTCAGCCTCCCAAATAGCTTGGATTACAGGCGTGTGCCACCATGTCCAGCTAATTTTTGTGTTTTTAGTAGAGATGGAGTTTCACCATGTTGACCAGGCTTGTCTCGAACTCCTGACCTCAGCTGATTCGCCCACTTCGGCCTCCCAAAGTGCTGAGATTACAGATGTGAGCCACCATGCCCAGACGATAGGGCTTTTTATCATTCTAAAAAGAACCCATTCTTGGCTGGGCATGGTGGTTGGCTCACGCCTCTAATCCCAGCACTTTGGGAGGCTGAGGTGGGCGGATTGCATGAGGTCAGGAGTTCAACACCAGCCTGGCCAATGTGGTGAAACCCTGCTCTACTAAAAGAAAAAAAAAATAAATAACAACAACAACGAAAAGAACCCACTCTCTAGAGGGTAGCAGTTTTTTACTGGGGAACTCAAATGGGACCAGAGAGACCCCTTGATTCATACCCAACCCTCAGATTTCTATCTTGGAGAGTCAGCCTAAGCCCCCAGTGGTTTCAAAATTTCCTTTCTGCACGTGGAGTAATTAGGTTCTGTTTCAGCAACGTGAAAGGTTAAATAGATTGTCAAGAGAATCTCCATTTCTTTGTGGAAATTTGTCCACACCTTTTAACAACTGACTGACAAATAAATGTTTTAACAGTAAATCTTTTAAAAATCATGTTCTAAAGTGCCCTTGGATCTCTTTCCTTCTGACTTGGAAGCTATTTGTACACGTGCCAACACACACAGGATTGAGATCAATTTTTTCTCTCTTGTACAGGATCAGAGTCTAAGCAATGACTAGCACAAAGCTATGAGTCAGGAAGAAAAAAATAAAACAAAGCTGCGTTTCCATCCAGGCACTCTGAAATATAACCACTGATACAAAAAAACTGCCTGTTGGTTGCATGTCCCAAGGTAAAGGACAAGAGAATAGTTTCTGTTGTAATTTTATGTTAATGCTCCCCACATTCATTTCACACTGTCCATATTCAGTTCCAGAAAATCACTTTGTAGGTGGAACTGTGGTAGTGCCTGTTATTCTGAAAGCACTGTGGTGCTAAGTTTCCTTGGTCTGCTTGCACAATCCAGAAGGAAAATTTCTCCTCCGTCCTGGAGGATGTGTCATTTGAACATCTTTTAGTGCTCTCAGAAGAGCATAGATGCTCATTTATTCATTTTTTTTTCCTCCCTAGAATTTCATTGCTCCAGCCCACATTTTTTCTTTTTTTCTGTTTTCAGATAAATTTTAAGTTGCCCAAATTCCCTTAATGTCATTTACACAGCAGGCATTATACTCTTCTTAGGCCCAAATTCTAAAATTCCATTTTAGGAGATTATTTCATTAAGAAACTGACCGAAATCAATTTAAAAATGAGGATGATATGTCTCAGTTGGAAACAGTAGAACTTCAGTAGCAAACATTTATTGATTTATAGAAGGATAGAAACTTCCTTTTTTCCAGAAACAGCCGGGTTGGTTTTTTCCACTTGAGCTCTCTGCAAACCGCTAATAAGGTCTTTAGCTTTGTGATCTTAGCATAATTCATGGTTGTCAAGAGAAATATTTGCTGACTTAAAGGATATGTTGACTCTTATCAATGAAATGCAATGAAGCTGATATTTGTACTCAGAATTTTTATTTCAGGCATACTGGGCCTGTTCTACATACATAGGAAGACCAGAACAATAATACTTGCTCTGTGATAAACAGAAGGGTATACTGATTTTGGAAAATATGTCAGCTCAATTTGGAAGATTGCTAAACCACCTAAAACAGAGCCTGTTTAAAAAATAAATAAATAAAAAATAAAAAAAAGGCTGGCACGGTGGCTCACACCTGTAAATCCCAGCACTTTGGGAGGCCGAGGTGGGTGGGTCACCTGAGGTTGGGAGTTCAAGGCCAGCCTGACCAACAAGGTGAAATCCCATCTCTACTAAAACTACAAAAATTAGCCAGGCCTGGTTGCAGGTGCTTGCAATCCCAGCTACTCGGGAGGCTGGAGACATGAGAATCACTTGAACCCAGAAGGCAGAGGTTGCAGTGAACCAAGATCACACCACTGCACTCCAGCCTGGGCGACAGAGAGAGACTCCGCTGAAAAGAAAGAAAGAGAGAGAGAGAGAAAGAAAGTGGAGAGAAAGAAAGATGGAAAGAAAGAAAAGACGGTGTGCTTTTGTTTGCTGAATGATGGGATTCAGAGCAGCCAGTGTTGTCTTCTGCAACCCGCAAACACCCATGGGAAGGAGAGCTTGTCTGGTTAGTTAGATGACTTTGGATAGATGAAGAGTACAAATGCATGGCAGGAAAAAGGTTTTCAAGGCATGATCGGTTTTCCTTTGTGAGCTGAACTTGGACTCTTCAGAAGTCCTGAGGACGGGCCAGCTTGGCAAGTTTTCTCCTTTTCAGCTTCCAGTGTGCACTCCTTCTTTCCACTCTCACCTCTGAATGCTGTGTGGAGGCGCTGATCTGCCTAAGACCCAGGCTGTGAGCCAAGCTGTTTTTAATGACCGTCCTTAAGCTTCAGCCCAACAGCTGTTTTACAGGTGCACATGATTCAGCAACTAGCTCACTGTGAGTGTATGATTTAAAAGGTGCATGTAAATCATTTGAAAAGGTATTTTAAATGCTCCAGTGGGCTCGCTATTTAAAGGAATCCTTCAGCAAATCTTTTTTGAAAGGGAAGACTCTCCTTCTAATGCCAGTAATGATCACCGCCCCCTAGGTTTGGCCTTATGTATATTTGATAGATTTAAAGTGGGGTGAGATATATTTTCAGGCCGCTACGCTCTGCAGAGTTCCAGATTGAACTTCACCAGCTTGTTTATCAATGTTGTCACTGCCTTCCTGCCCCACAGGAGCATCAGCTGGTTTGGCAGGAGGAAAAGGCAGATCATCTGTGCCTCTATCTGACTCACCCTCCCTGCCATACAGAGCAGTTTCAGGCTTGTCTCCACATTCCCTCTTTCTGTGAATGAAGAATCACATGGTCACATAAAAAATATTATTGGAGCTTCAAGGATGAAAAATTCAGGAAATATACTTAATGAAGTTGAATTTCAAAACAGGAAATATCTTCTAATTTGGGAAGTGTGTGTGTGTGTGTGTGTGTGTGTGTTTAAGCTAAATAATGAAATCTTATAAAAACTTCCTGCCTGAAGAACTTGCATGACTGTATAAACAGCTTTTTGATACTGTGTATCACATGCTGTTCAAATAACCTGTCAGTCCCAGTAGGTCCTAGGTCAACATCCCTTCCTGCATTGTTGCAGTCATGATGACATAGTGTTCGCTATTTTTGTCGAAATGTTGACAAAGTACCAGAAACCAGCTCAATTGCTGGTGTTATTCCTACTCCTAATTTATTTATCAATTCTTCCAAAGGGTCTATTTTTTTCACTCCTCTATTTATTTTTTTCTCATCCTTCTCCACAATCCCTCCACTTTCTTTTCTCTTGGCACACATGTGGCTTTTCTGATCTTGAACTTATCTTCCCTTCCAGCCTTTCCTTTCTATATACCAGGACCATTCAGTCAGCCCACTGGAGTTATCAGGGTGACAAGGCTTGAAATATCTTTCAGCACGTATTAAAATAAACATGCACTTTCATAGACCTGCCTTCAGCATCCTTCATTTATGTTTATTTGTTTCACACACTATACAGCGTTTTATGATTTCTCTTTATTTTTGATTTTCTCACTTTGGGATTATGTTTTCTTCTGCAAAGCAAGACACCAACCATATGTACTGGCAATGGAAGGAGAGCAAAAGATAGCTCTCCATGCAAAATGACTTTTAAGTAAATCATAATCTTTGGATCGATTATCCTCATATCTCATATTGGAGGTTTTAGTTGCAGAAGCTAAAGTCAGAATGTTATGGGAATTAAAAAAACCACATTCTTTCTGAGCATGTTTGAACACGACACTTTCCAAACCAAATGTTCTTCTGAATTTGTTGTGCTCCATTTAGGTAGTATGTCGCCTTTGAGATATACAGAATGAAGTTCATGACTTTGGGTCAAGTAGAAAGGGATCTGGAGAACAGGGGACGGGATTTGGCATGTTCAGTTACCTTTTGTATTAGTCCTTTTATCTAGGACACTCTTGCTGCCACACATAAAATTTCCCTTTGCCAAAGAGAGGTTAGGTAATATTTTGACAACAGAAGAAAATCAGTGTCAAACAAACAAGCACGGTACCAAGCATGCAAGTGTTGTTAGTTAGGCCTGGGTTAGACTTCTGGGTAACTCACTTGGTACTTGGAGATCTTTGGGAAACTACTTAACTCCTGTCAAGCAAAGGTTCTACGTCAGCAAAATTATTCGTTATTCTTTTCTGTTTCCTCTTTTTCTTAAAGACATTTTATAGTATCTTTTGTAATATTAAATTTTGGCCTAGATCATTTACTGTGGAAATAGAAAAGTTAATTTCAACTACAGCTTTTTATTTTAGGTCTACCCAAATCACCAATTAGAGCAGTTAAAACACATATACACATGGTGGCTCATGCCTGTAATTCCAGCACGTTGGGAGGCTGAGGTGGGTGGATCACGAGGTCAGGAGTTCGAGACCAGCCTGGCCAAGATGGTGAAACCCCATCTCTCGTAAAAATACAAAAATTAGCTGGGCATGATGGTGGGCACCTATCATCCCAGCTACTCGGCAGGCTGAGGCAGAGAATTGCTTGAACCCTGGAGGTAGAGGTTGCAGTGAGCCGAGATTGAGCCACTGACCTCCAGTCTGGGTGACAGAGTGAGACTCAGTCTCAAAAAACAAAAACAAAAACAACAAACAAAACACACACAAACACACACGCGTGCACACACACACACACAAAGGTGAGGATTATGTTTGAAAGGAAAAGATAAGTTCTTTCATTTTCCACTGAAAAGGAAGATAAAGTATGGAAGGAAGGAAGCGGGGAGAGGGAGGGCAGGAGGGAGGGAAAAAAGGAAGGAGGGAAGGAAGGAAGGAGGGGAGGAAGGAAGGAAGGAAAGGGAGGGTGGGAGGGAGGGAAAAAAGGAAGGAAAGAGAAAGAAAGGAAAGAGAAAGGAAGGAAGGACAGAAGGAAGGAAGATATCAAATGAAATTACTTTGAGCAATCATTTTTTCCTTTTTGTCAATTCTTCTTGTTTTGTAGAATATTAAATAATAATTGCAAAGTCCTATTAATCTCTCTCATTCCTTACTTTTTCTTCCAATTTTAAGTCTGAAAAGAAGAGCTAGATAAAATGCGTGATCATTGGGATACCACTTCATTACCTTATACAATCACTGTAGTCTGTCGTGGTAGATATTCCATTGATTTACTTGCATTACACAATGGGTCCTAAAGTTATTTAGAATCTGTATTTCTAATACCTTTATTAATTTAGCAAATTGCAATCTTCCATAATGCTCATGACCATTCTTGAGAAAGAAATGATAAGTAAAGAGTTGAAAAGTTAAAATTACTTTGAGGATTTCTCAGGTCCTTTTTTAGACCAAAGGAAAGGAAGAAGCTAATATAAAACAAGATCTTGGTACTTCCGTGTAATGACCACATTCATACCTTTGAACAATAGAACAACAAGAGAGATGCCACCTTCTGCATAAGGTTGATAGTTTCAGACCCAACGTAAGTGCACCAGTGTGAGGTTTCCTATTGCGATCATTACATTGGTCACCTTGATGGCAAGCAATGGTAAGTCTTGTTAATAGTCTTGGCCCGACTCCATTCAATCTCCTAATCAAATTCGCCTATAATTTGCTGAGGTGTTTTGGTGGCGAAAGAAAGATTATGGGCATAGCTTCTACTTCTTTTTCCATATTGTGGTATAGTTGATTAAAATAAACACAGTGTTCTAGTTTAGCAGTGCTTCCTATCCAATGCAGTGCCTAACTAGTTTGCGTTCTAGACTGTTTCTTCAGGGGTTCCCTGAGCTTGTATAAGAGCCATCTAATCATCTATAATGATAGGGTCTTCATCAAGACCTGTTCCTTTTGTGTTTCTTTCACTAAGGTGAAACAGACCCTTTCACTGGCTTTTTAGTAAAAAAATATTCAAAGAAATATCTCTCATGTATCTCAGGAGATGTGTTGACTTGTAGGGTCCACAGTATTTCAGCATCAATGCCGGCCTTGATAATGCCCCAGGGCTGCCCCTTTTCCAGAAAAAGGACATATGCTCCCCTTGAAAATTTCGTAGAAGAGTCAGAAATTCATTGTTCTGCTCATCAAATCATTGATCATTTATCTGTGGGGGCTTTTAGCCTCTTTGCAACTACTGCACACACAACCTGGTCTGGCCCTTCCTTGGAGTTCACGGGTGGTGGAGGCTGACAGTGGGGACCTAATGCTCTTTGATAAGACCAGTAGTCTCCTCAGATGCTCCACCATCAGCCACGTGCTTCTGCGCCTGGCTTTGAGTAACAGGCTGGCCAGCTGCAAGAGAGGCACAGCCAGGCATTGCCCTGACAGCTGACAGGTGGTGTGGGCCTGGAGTGAGGGAAATAATCTGCACTCTGGAAATTTGCCATACTGCAACCTGGCCCATGGAAGAACCCAAGGATGCATGAGCTCCAGCTCCTCACCTTTCATCTTAGAGAGAAATATGGGCTGTGAGAGTTGGCCAGAGGAGGTGCATATGTCCAGGAAGCACACCTGGGAGCTCAGGCTGGACGTGCCACCACTTCCTCTTTGGCTGCAATGCACACATCTGGCTATTCCCATCAGTGGTTAGCAAGAGGCAAAGAGATGCTTGGCTCAGCATCCAAGAGAACTCAGTCACCCAAGAGAATGTTAACACTGATGCATTGACCTGCCTCCTATGTTTTAAAGTCCTGTTCACAATAATGACAATGAAGTGTCACCTCCCCAAGGAAGTGCAGCAAACCCATAAACAGAGTCATAAATGCCACTGAAAGGAATTAGTATTCAAAAGCACATTTTAGGACAGTGAAGTTATAACCATGACAACTTTGCCGGCAGACTAAAGAAGTGAACATTCTAGTACAACCATCAGAAGAAAAGTGTGGGCCAGAATCTCATCCATCCAATAGCTAGATCCTGTTACTGCTATTCCTAGTAGATATCTAAAGAATTCATCAGCATCTGTTGTAAATCCAACAGACAAACATGTCTTAGTTCTTAGTGCTATTTTGATATTAAAACAAAAATTTGAAATCGTTGAGAAACAAAATGTATAAATTTGCTCATGGGGTGTCTTGATTTCTTTTTAACAAAATTTTTATTGAAGTCTAATTTGCATATAGAAAAATTACAAATTCCAATTGTAAGCTTGATATATTTTCACTGGGTAACCAGAACCCAGATTTAAGAAGCAGGATTTTAATGGGACTCCAGAAGTCCTGTGTACTCTGCTCTGGAAACTCCCCACTCATCTCACCTCTCTCAGGGTCTCTATCACCATGAATTCCAATAGGATAGATTGGTTTTGTCTGCTTTATGCTTTATGTCAGGGGTTGGCAAATGTTTTCTGTAAAGAGACAGATGGTAAATATTTTAGGCTTTAGAGGCTATAGAGACTCTGTTGCTACTAGTCAAATCTGACACTGCACTGCAAAAGTAGCACCAGACCATAGCAAAATAAATGGGCATGGCTGTGTTCCAATAAAGCTTTATTTACAAAAACAGGTGATGGCTGGAGTTGGCTCATGGATCATAATTTGCCAGCCTCTGCTTTATATAATGCCTGACAACATGTTTGTGAGCTTTATCTACTGGTGCACTGGGGCGGGCTCACACCAGCTTATGAGAACTGATCTCATTGTGCACATATCATCCCAACTATTCATGCCGTGATGTATTGTTGGTAACTTGAAATAGTCCATGGTGGAGTATTTACGCCAAGGAAATTGTCAAATGTCACAAATTATGTGCCTCCCACCACGATCATTTGCCTTAGAATGTGACAGGGTTGGATCTCAATGGCAATTAACTTGATATCTCCAAGCCTCTGTTTCCTCATCTGCATTGAGGATATGGAAACATCCAGAGATACTTCATATATGAACTGCTTAGCAAGATGGCTGTTACATAATATCCTATTCTGATACAATGATGGTCTTCTAAAATATTCCAGATATTGGCAGATATCGAGAGCTCATCTCAGCACTTTTTATCTTTTCAATTTAGATGTTTGATGTTCCTATTGACTTTGTAAATGTCTCTTGCATGTGTTCCTTGCTCTCCAATGACATTGAGACTTAGACCCGACCCTCAACATTTCTTACCTAAAACTATCCTGATTTCCTTTGATCCTCCATTCCTTCAGTTCATCCTCCACAATGATCTCCAGGATTATGTTTTTCAAAGTGTTACATTAATCTGCATGTGGGACAAATTAATGGCTCCTGATGCCCAGAAATTAAATGTAGTCATCTTTCGCATGTCATGGATGGTCTTAGTCCCACATCTTTGTGATCATTTCCAGACCTTTGCTTGGTCTGCCCTCAATCGGAATATGCCAGGGTTTTGGTCTCTGCAGAGCATCTTCCTGGGTCACCTGTACTCAATTTTAAGGGCTGGTTTACAAGATACCTCTTCATTCTTCACTTCCTTCTTTCCTAACCCCTGCTGGCAACTTCATCCACAGCAGAATGAATTGTTCCCTCATCTGTGTTCCCATGGTTATAGGAACTTAATGTTACTGGAATACATATCACATTATAGTCAATGTATATATATATATATATATATATATATATATATATATATTTGCAACTTCTATGAGGACAGAGGCTGTATTTTTCATCAGAATATTGTCCCAACATAACTTTTCTGGCGTGCCAATAGATGGCTGGAATGTAACTCAGAAAAACAAGGAAACACAAGGACAGGGATAATGGAGGTTTCTTGCCACACTCTGTGGCAGGGTGGGCCATCTCTGGGCAGGTTCATCTAAACAGAATTTCTTTCTAGATGAGGAAGGGTTCCTGGTCAGATGGACATATGAGAAAGAGGCAGAGAAGGAGGCAACGTCCAGTCCTTGGTCACTATCCTGTCTTCAGAACACCTTTAGGAGAACTCGTACCCCACTTAGTTGGCTTGGTGTTGACTTTGTCTGATATCAGTGGTAATCATGGCTTTAGGCACAGGGTAACAATAGCTAACACATTTTCCTTCAGCCCTGGATGCTTCTGCATTTGACTTCTCAGTGGTTATAAAAACTCATAACCTCTATTTGCTTGGTGGCATCGCTAGCCCTCTTGATTTTCAAGCACTATGTCCATAGGCACAAGATTGTATACATTACATACAGGAAATGTTGGTTATCTTACCTTGGCATAATTTGCATAATCCCCTAGCACAGTGGGGAGGCTTGAGGCTCTAACTCAAGCATAAGCATTCAGTGGTTACCATGGCAGGAGTCTGATCTCTCACAAGCAAGAGTTTCAGTGACCTGGTACCATAGGAAGATAAAATTGGAAAGGTAGTGTATTAGGCCATTCTCATATTGTTATAAATACCTAAGACTGGCTAATTTATAAAGAAAAGAGGTTTCATTGACTCATGGTTCTCCACGCTGTACAGGAAGCATGGCAGTATTTGTTTCTGGGTAGGCCTCAGGGAGGTTTACTGATGGTGGAAGGCAAAGTGGGAGCAGACATCTTACACGGCAGGAGCAGGACTGAGAGAGAGTTTGGCGGGGGGCTATACAATTTGAACAGCCAGATCTCACTAGAACTCACTCACCATCATGAGAACAGCACCAACAGGGAAATCAGTCCCTGTGATCCAATCACCTCCCACCAGGTCCTACCTCCAATGTGGGTATTACAATTTGACTTGAGATTTGGGCAGAGGCACAGATCCAAACCATATCAGATAGTGAGATCAAGTTGTGGATAGTCTTGAAATGTAACTTCAGAGATGGGCTCTCCTGGGTAAGCAATCAGCAGTACATGAAGGCTGATTATCAACAGTGTTGTAATTAGAGTTGGGTCAGAGGAAGATTAAACTGGCAGTTGTGTGCAAAATTAATTGGAGCAGGAAGAAACAGAAACCAAACAATCTGTAAGTAGTCTGTTGCAGTAGTCCAGAAAAAAATGTAATGATGTTCCTAACTGAAGAACTGGCAGTAAGAATGAATGGATGACAAGGATAGAGTGGGCATGAAAAAAAACTGAGATAGAATTTTCTGAACTTCAGAGCCAGTTGTATATAACGATGAGGGAGTAATATCCTGTAATCAAAGAGTGGAATCCAAAAATATTTCAAGGTTTTATGCACCAGTGGCTGAGAAGGCTCAAATGAAATAAAGATAAATAAGGGATAAACAGGTGCAAATTTGTTGAATAATACAAAGTAATCGATTAACACATCTGAATGTCCCCTCTGGGATATCTGTGTTGTGCTTCATAAATTAATGAAACAGCCATTTCTAGGCTAAGATGCAATAGGACTTTAACAATGTAAAGCAACATTAGCAGTGATCTTGGCTACAGATTGAGTTGGGGGAACAGATTACACCCCCTCTGGAAATGGAGAAAAATCTAAAGAAAATATTGCTTTAAAAGAAAGAATCTCAGGGAGTTATATCTGCCAATAAGGGACAACCCTGGTTAGGGTTTTCTCAATGATAGTTAAATTACATCAAATTAGGGTTTAGGGACATGATTTCTCCAAGATGCCAAAAAAAAAGAGAACTGTATAGCAGCTCTAGGATTTATCTAGCTACACGTTTAAACTTCCATTTCCAAGTTATATGCAAGATTTTGTAACTGAAAGCTCACAGAAAGTAGGATTTAAAAGGGCTGAAAATTTTTCCCTCTTCCTTTTTCTCCCTTTGGAAAAATGTCATGTGATGATGTATTTGTACCTATCCAAAGAAAGCATACATTAAAGGAAAGAACTTCCTTCATATAATGATGTGTGGAAAGGAAAATGGAACACAGTGGCTGAAAAAGAGCCATTATTTGTAGGGTTCTACTCCAGACTTTTGTTGGATGACATGTGACAAATATGGCATAAATAACAGAAAATAGGGATGTTTTTGAATTATGAGCAGAAGAGAATTCTAATTTTCCACCTATATAGCTTATAAAATCTGAAAGTTGTTTATATTTGGAGTTGAGATGTCAAAGAAGGGAACGAATTCCATTGGTATGGTTGGCTTTTTATATAATATGTCTATTTACATGGATGTTTAAGCTGGTTGCTTGAATAAATTCAAATTTTTAGTAATTTCAAAGAGTTTAGGTGATTTAATATAGTCATGCGAAAGAATCTCAAGACTAGAGGGTCTTATCATTGGGCAAATTCATGTGCTGGAAATGGAAGGTAGAGAAATAACGTGATTTAATGTCATACTAATTCTACATTCTGGGAGAATTTACTTTATTTAAAATATAGTGAAGAACCTTGAACATAGTCATGTGATTTGTACGAAGATGCCTAGAACATGGAAATATATACTCTAATAAAAAAAATTTTTTAAATCTGCTAGGAAGTTTTAAATGCACGTTAACATTCAGAATGATATATAGAATCAAAGAAACCATTTGCATGATTTATACCTTTAAAATAAATCTGAATTTGGCTACAATTAATTGAAGAGTAATGGAATAAGTATTTTTTTGAATTATTTGAATTTCCTAAGACAGGTCATTCCTTCATTGTATGTTTTACTTGGGTAGGTCTGAGCACATCTCATTACTTATTAAAGCTTATTTGATTGTGCAAAAAAAAAAAAACAAACAATTTTTCTTGGATGTTCAACCATTTCTAAAACAACTTTCTGAAAATAAATCATCATTGTCTCCTTGAATAACAAGAAATAAAAGAATACATGCCAACCACCTATTATTATCAAATTCTTAGTAGAAGAATTTGAGACATTTTGGTACTTTTGATATTTGAAAAGAATTTATGAGACAGAGAAGCAGTAGAATTAAATATTTCATGAGAAGGAATTCTGTCAGAGTAGTTATTAATAATTCTTCTAATTGTACTTGTAAATGTTGGATATTCCTAATTTGAGCTATCTCTGAGCTGTGGGGTGTGTTTAACATTTAAATAATTATCTTGTTTGGTTTCTGAAGCTGCCATCACACAGGAAGTAGACTGCTAGAATCATTTACTTGCAGACCTAAAGAATTTCAGGGTGAGAAGAGATTAGTTCTTTAATTTTGTAAGTAAATAAACTAATAAAAGCAGAATTCAAATAGGATTTGATTAAATTTACACAGCTATGCCATGAAAGAATTCTTCATCCCTAGTGGAATTTCCCATGCCTCTGTTTCATTTTATCTCAAGGATAAATGCTTCTGATTCCTAGTCATGGAAACTTCCAAAGACACTTCCCAGAGAATAGACATTTTCAAGTAACTGGATGTGCAAAAGGCAGTACCGTGTGAGTCTGCTATGTATTTTCACTTTGTAGAGATAATGTGTTCTTATCATGATGCTACCCTCCCACACATGGATCCCTGAACCAAGACGGGCCAATCAGAGCCCTCTCTCTTGGACCTGGGAATTGTGACAGAAAGTTAGTGTCATATGACTGTCCTTTCCCACTGAATGCAGGTGTCCTTGGTGGCATCCTGTAGCTCTTGGAGGAGATGCAGCTGGTCGTTTCACAGCAAGATATGATGGGCAGAGCATTTTGTTGGCACATTGCTGGCTTCCAAGGTCTGGGTGCAGTCACTTGCAGGAACCAGCAGTATTGACTATTTAGCACACCACTGAACCTTTTTTAGGAATTCATCATTTTGTTCTCTTTCTCTCTTAAGCCAGTTCAAAGGGGGTCTGTCACTTTAAATAATGCCTAATCCGTGTTTATCCTTTTGAAGATCTTTACAGAAGGGAGAAGAATGCCTTTTGTGACTACTGAAAGTACAAAGAACTACCCTTCACTCATGGAAATGAACATGGCCATAGGTTTTCTTTTCCTTCTTTCTCTTTTCTCCCCCTTCACTTCATACCTTTTGACTCTGCTAACGTGTTGAGTTCTCATTATGTACTGTGGATTGTTTCACATAGCTCTTCTCATTTTATCTCAGCGAGCTATTCAGTATTTTTTAATTTTTTTCATAAGATGAGGTACACCTATTTCCTAATCAAACCCGTTTTGTATTGTGTTTGTTTCCAGCCTTTGACATTTAGAGAAAAAAAAAAAAAAAAGAACTTTGGTTTTGGAGTGGAGCTTTTTAACATGACTGAAGAGTTGGACACAGAAGCAGAAAGCCCAAGTATTATTTATCTTGAACTAAGGGGAAGATTTATTTAACTATCTACAGTGACTATTTTGTAAAGATAGTGGTAATTTTGCAGTCATTCTCTATCTTTTCCAAAGACCACAGTAAGATTAAATGGACTTAAACTAAAATATTAGAGATGCAGTTGAAAAGAAAAGATTGTCCAGATGGTAAAAGCTGTTGACTACCATATAGTGTGCTAAATAGTGCAACATAATCCCTTCTACTATACTAAAAAGACAGGATATTTATCTGTCTGGTATTTTGTGGTTATTGTTTCCCCTAATAATTTTAAGTACACTATCTTATGGAGGTTGCATTTAATAATTTCATACATTTCTCTTATGATAGGCAAGTTCTGTAGTTACTATGTACTATCTTACATGACTCAAAACATTTCTCATTAAATCTAATTGGGCCAGGCATGGTGGCTCATTCCTATAATCCCAGCACTTTGGGAGGTCAAGGCAAGTGGATCACTTGAGGTCAGGAGTTCAAGACCACCTTGGCCAACACGGTGAAACCCGTCTCGACCAAAAATACAAAATAATTAGCCGGGCATGGTGGCGTGTGCCTGTAATTCCAGCTATTCAGGTGGCTGAAGCAGGAGAATCCCTTGAACCTGGGAGGCGGAGGTAGTTGCAGTGAGCGGAGATGGCACCACTGTACTCCAACCTGAGTGATAGAGCAAGACCCTGTCTCAAAACAAAAAAGAAAACAAAACCAAAAAACCGAAACAAATAATTGGGTTCTTCAAAAAATACTCGAAAGAAAAGTCAAATCTACTTTCTGGTGTATATTATATCGTTTTATCCTTAGTTGACGAAATGTTCATTTAAATATTTGTAGGGGAAAATCAAGCAGCTATTTGTAATAACAAGGAGATGTATATTATGAATAATTATGCCTCCAGTTAATTCAAAAGCAGCATTTTAGCCACTAATTGTAATCTCACCACTTTAAAAAGTCTCTTTGTCATGCACTTACTTAGAGAAGTTATAATAATTTTGTTCAGCTTCCTCTCCATCCTTATACACTTGCCATTAGAGTGGCTGAAGATCAAACGTAGGCTGAACATTTTCACAGAGGAGGATTCTGGAGCTGAAGTATGGAGTTAACCCACGATTATTGAATAATCCAGATTTAGCCAACTTTTGCTGTTTGCTGATTTGATAGAACTTTTTTTTTTTCTTATAAGTGTTCTGTAACATTAGGATTTTTTCAGTATACACATGTATCTTTACAGTAATAGATGCTAAATTTAAGCATTTCTGTAATGTTCTGTATAATCTACTTTAGGTATTGGGTGAATATTCTATGCTTCTAATGTAAGGAGTTTTATGTCTTCACTATATTTCTCCCAGAAACAAGACCACACCTTTGCAGAGTGAAAATTCTTTAATTGAGAAGACATTATGTAAAATTCATCCCATAAAGTGCTTTAGCACATAAGCATAACCATATACTAATGGCATGGCTTTAATTTATTGGTCAAGACCTGTTGAAGCACAAAATTGCTGTGCGTTGTAAAACATTAGACCACACGAAGCTCCCTGGGCCACTGGCTTTCTTCACACACTTTGCTGAATATTTTTCCCTTTTCCCTTGTACCCTAAAGAAATACTTCAAGTAGGAACAGTCTCTAAAGAAGTAGGAACAGCCTTCTAAAGAAATACTTCAAGTAGGAACAGTCTCATCTTGTCCTTTTAGATCTATTAAATCAAACTGACCCATCCTAAGAAAATGGGCTATTTCAGTGACTTGTCTACTTGAATGAGCAGGTAATAATAAAGGTGATTTGTGTTTCATTTTGGAGGAAATGGACTTTTGCTATGCATTGTTTGTTGGGAACATCACTTGCCATATTTGATAGAATGTCGCCTTTGCACCATTAAAATGGCTTGGTATTAATTCTTACTACTTTCCTCTAAAAACTCGTGGGCTAATTTTTACTTTCCCGTAGCGATGATGCAGAAACGGCCACAAATTTCATAACGATTTGAAGAATTTTAGATTATAACTGCAATGTTCTCATGAACCTGAAATCACTTTGGTATGCTTTCCGGTAGGTGCAGAATTTCTCGAGTTTTCTTGCAGTCTGATGGTAGTAAATATTCTCCCGAAGAATAGAGAAGTGAAAGGTATAATCCCACTGAGAAGCCATCCCATCGGCTTCTGTATTTAAAAAATGCAAATAAGGTGCAGATTAAGAATCTGCTTTTTTTTCCCTCCAACTTCTGACATGAAAATCTTCAGAGTATATATGAATTCACATGGATATGCCAGATATTATATATTTGGAATGTATGTTTCCTTGTCTGTTAACTCGTGTGGTTGGTAACTTTTCAAAAAAAAAAAAAGATGTCTGCATTCATATTGTTGTAGGGTTTAGTGAAGTTCATGTTTGTTAAAAGAAAAACCTCAGGCAAATTAAATTGACAGAGTTTAATTGAACAAAGAACCACTGGTGAATTGGGCAGTCCCTGAAAATGAATAGGTTTCAGAAACTCCAGGGCTACCATGTGACTGAAGAAGACTAATGGGCAGAGAAAGGAAAGTGACGTACAGAAAACGGAAGTAAGGTAAAGAAATAGAAGCATTGGTGGCCGGGTATGGTGGCTCACGCCTGTAATCCCAGCACTTTGGGAGGCCAAGGAGGGCAGATCACCTGAGGTCAGGAGTTCGAGACCAGCCTGGCCAACATGATGAAACCCCGTTTCTACTAAAAATACAAAAAAATAGCCAGGTGTGGTGGTGGGCACCTGTAATCCCAGCCACTCGGGAGGCTGAGGCAGGAGAAGTGTTTGAACCCGGAAGGCGGAGGTTGCAGTGAGCTGAAATTGCGCCACTGCACTCCAGCCGGGGCAACAAGAGCGAAACTCCATCTCAAACAAAACAAAACAAAACAAAAAAAGAAACAGAAGCATTGGTTACTGCTTTCCGTTTGCCTTGTTTGAAGCTGGTTTGAACAGTTGGCCACCTTTGATTGGCCAAAACTCAGTGACCGGCCCAAGAGTAGCTTACAGTCTGTTTAAACATCCAGTTAGGTTACAGTTCATTATGTATGAAGAAACCTTTAAAATATGTAAAGAGTCAGCTTTATGCCAAACTTAATTTAACATGTTCATATTTCTGCCCAGATAAATACAAGAGCACTTGTAGATTTCTTGGCCCTTTAAAGGCTTCTTTTGCTGACCTAGTAACTGTAATGTGGCTCCTCATTGAGGAGTCTGTCTTTTTGTCAGTGTCTCAGGTGGTTTAACAAGGGAGTCCCTTGAGACAATTTAAAAAATCTTGACGTGCTTGTAGCAGACCAAAGTCATGCAGTCCTGCTGGTGATTAGGTATTCTTCCTGTCCTGCAAACCTTCAATTTGTTTGGAATTGGATACCATCCTGGCAACACTCACTGAGGATCTGCTTTGCCAAGGCCGGGCTGGCCTGAATTCAGTTCTCTTGGCCTTGGTTTTTTATTCTTCCTTGTACAGCCCAGATGGAATGGAGGATGGCTTTTAGCCTTGTGGTTCTAGTGAAATCCTTGGCTGAGAGTGGTTTGTTATGTGACCTGAATTGTCTGTGGGCTCATCAGATCCACAGAGGACTCCACAGTGTTTCCATGTTATCTTGTCTGTGCTTCCCAAGTACACTCATATGCTTAGAGTCAGTTCAATTGCCTCTGGATAGCAGCGAATTAACTGAGTCTTGTGGAGTGAGAAGAGCCCGTATCTAACTCCAACAAACTACTTTCATTCAGTGTGACAAAGCCCCCAGTTCACTCCAATCAGATATGAAGGATTTATATTATGCTGTTCTCTGTTAAGTTGAAAAAGGTTTCCAGAGGACTGGAAATATATTTTCACACCCGCTTCCAAATCCCCTGTTATAATTTTGGACAAGACCATGCAAGACAACATGGATTCAAATTGGACCCAATGCTGCATCCTGCTCAAATTCCCTTTGCCCGTTGATTAAGGATAGCAATGGATCAAGCAGAATGCTTCCAATATTGAAATCACTGTTAACATCATTATGAATTGGTTGTGGCATAACAGAGAATTTTCTCAAAGCAGCTCAGTTGAATCTGCTGATTCCTCATGGAATCCCCTGCCTCCAATCATCTCCTCCTCTACCTAATTCTAGATGTCACTGCCTGAGTGAGTAATCTTCGAAAATGTAGATTTAATAATAGGGGATGGGGAAGCCTCTCATTGTTTAAATTAAAAAAACATTAATATTCAATACTCTCTATAACTTTTCTTTCTGGCTTCAGCTTCCACTCTATCTCTTCACTCCAACCAAATTAAATATGTTGTTTGTAGTAGGAAGAATGAAACCTTTCCCTCCCCTGACCCCCTGACCGATGATGTCCACATCCTATTTCCCAGAACCTGTGACTCTGTTACTTACATGGCTAAGGGGAAGGAAGTTTGCAGAAGGAATTAAATTTTCTTATCAGTTCCTTTAAGATGGACAGTTTATCCTGGATTGATCTAGTGGGCCTGCTGTAATCTCCAGCAGTGGTCCCTAACCTTTATGGCACCAGAGACCGATTTTGTGAAAGACAGTTTTTCCGTGGACGGGGCGAGGGAGGGATGGTTTGGGGATGATTCAAACACATTGCATTTATTGTGCACTTTATCTCAACTAGACAGTCCCATCGGTGGGTGATGGGAGACAGAGGCAGATCATCAGGCATTAGATTCTCCTAAGGAGCATGCAGCCTAGATCCCTCCATGTGCAGTTTACAATAGGCTTTGTGCTCCTGTGAGAATCAAGTGCCATCGCTGATCCGACAGGAGGTGGAGCTCAGGCGGTAATACGAGTGACGAGGAGTAGCTGCAGATACAGATGGAGCTCACCTGCCACTCACCTCCTGCTGTGCAGCCTGGTCCCTAACAAACCACGGACCTATACTTGTCGGGTCCATGGCCCTGGGGTTGGGGGCCTCTGATCTCAAGGGTCCTTATAAGTAAAAAGCGGAACTGAGAGAGAGAATAAAGAAAGATTTGAAGATTCTAGACAGCTGGCTTTGGAGATGAAGATAGGGGAAGCCAAGGAATGCAAATGACCTATAGAAGCTAAAAAAAGCAAAGACAGCAACAACAAAAAATTGAATTATTCCCTAGAGCCTGTAGAAAAATGCAGCCCTATGGAAACTTTGATTTTATTTCAGTGAGACCAGTTTTGAACCTCTGACCTCCAAAACTGTATGGTAAGAGACTAGAGTTGTTTCAGCCTCTGCGTTAGTGGTAACTTGTTATAGCAGCAATGGGAAACACGCCACTGTTGAGTGCAGTAGTTGTAAAAACAGACTCAGAGCCCAGGCTATCAGGTTTGAATCCTGACCCCGATGCTAGCTCTGTGTCCCTGGCAAGTTACTTGACATTTTCTAGGACTTGGATTCCTTTTCCTGCTCACTGATGTTCTGATAACAAAATATTTCCTTTCTCCAAAAACATCTTGTGCTTTACTGCTCCCATGTTTGCTAATATTATTAGATCCACATTTCTTTTTGGAAAAAATTGACCTGTCTCATTGAATTTGGCAGTAATATTACATCTTCCCTAAAAATTCTGTAATACACCTCAGGGTGATTTATGTCTCTCTCTCTCTTTCTCTCTCTCCTTTTTTCTTTTCTTTCTTTCTTTTTTTTTTTTTTTTGCACAGTTCTAGTGTTTTGCTGTTTAACAAGTTATAACTTTTACTATAGTTAATTATTATATTTGCTTTACTGTCATGACTAATATTAATAACTCCTTGAAGAGATGGATAGGTTTCGTTCGTGTTTGAGTCCCTCCTTCCCTCCAGGGTCTAGGAAAGTCCCTTTCTTATTGCAGATGTCCCTCAAAGCTTCTGAAATTGAACTTAACTATTGACATGAGTCTTGTGAAATTAAGGGTCCAATAAGATATTTTATGTTTGAGACTGTGTTACTCACTTTAATAACTAAATGGCATCATGTACAGTGAGTAAGCACTTTAGAAAAGTTAAAGGATGAAATGCTTAAATAATCTTTTTTAAGGACTTCCTGTGAAATGGATTTTTAAATTCACAACTGTCATTTCTACTACAATTCTTCATTAAATTAATACCCAAAGGTATCCTTGGCATGTGTTATGTAGTAGAGGCTCCAGACATTCAGCATATTATTATTAGGGCCTCAGAAGAAGGTAAAAATGAATAGAGCTGTGTTCTCCTTCCTATTGCCTAGTTCTCTAAGGATGCCATTTCTCAAATTTCAATGAAGGGAAATGGGGAAAATAAACAAGACTATTAACAGCAAGCAAGTAGAGAATGGTTTTGCAGAATGATTTTCTTTCTTTCTTTCTTTTTTTTTTTTTTTTGGTATAATGGAAAGAGTGTAGTGCTCTCAGTTAAGAATGATTTTGATCTTCCATTCTACTCTTACTCAGAGTAGAATGACCAACAGTTTGCTAGTTCCACATCTCTATTGATGGTGGATGGTTTTTTTCTATAAATGATGCTTTATTGTTTCAATGGAAAACTATGTCTGGGATCAGAAAAATGTGTGACTGTGTGGCGTTTAATGCTCTGAGCTCTGAAGGAAGAGAGACCTTAATGTGATTCCAGTTTTGTCATTTAGCGCTCCTATGCCTTTGAGCCATGGTTAACCTCTCCAACCCTCTCTTTTCTTTGTGGAAAGGTGTTGATAATAAAAGAACTTGACTTTAAAAATTGTAGTTACTTTATTTCAGACGCTCTGCTGCCCATATTATGTTTCATTAAATAATAAAGCATTGCATTATTATTTAATAAGTGCATTAGAATAGACATACATTGGCCGGGCGCGGTGGCTCACGTCTGTAATCCCAGCACTTTGGGCAAATCACGAGGTCAAGCGATCGAGATCGTCCTAGCCAACATGGTGAAACCCTGTCTTTACTAAAAATACAAAAATTATCTGGGCATGGTAGTGGGCACCTGTTGTCCCAGCTACTTGAGAGACTGAGGCAGAATTGCTTGAACCCAGGAGGCAGAGGTTGCAGTGAACCAAGATTGCACCACTGCACTCCAGTCTGGCAACAGAGCGAGACTTTGTCAAAAAAAAAAAAAAAAAAAAAAAAGAATAGACATACGTTATATATTTACATTTTAAAGCTATTTTAATGTATAAAACATATGCTCTGATATTCATTCTGGAAGAGTCTAGGGTCTAAATTTGTGACAAAGCATTCTACACATCAAAATACTCATTCTTGGGTGTTTGAAGGCTAAGGCTAGTTGAATACTTGACCATTAGTAGTCTACTGGGAAAAAAATTCTGATGTGCAGAAATTTATTAACAGCTGCTCTGACATGATCATTTTTCAAGGCTTGTCAGAGCAGAGGGCTCTGAATATCTTCTGAGAATACATGAGGCTGGATGCAGTGAAAAACTAAAACTACTAATAGGAATAGGAGGGGATAGATCAGAGATGCACCTTTAACCCCAAATGAAATGTGATAAACAAGATTAACATTTTAGAGTACTATTATAACAAGAATGGTGCTTGGTAAATGCAGCTTATGTTAGAGTGTATAAGAAATATTCATTCCTTAATATATACTGATTTGCTGTGTGAATATGTAATACAAAATGTTAATTCATCTTGATATTAGAGACTTCTGTAAGTGGGTCTACATGTACACTGGGACTAGAAAATAGCAATGTGATAATAGAGGAATTTTCTTGCTCCAGTTACATGATACTTCTTAAGTGAAAGTGTAGTTAGTAATGTGTGTGTCCTGTTGGCCATAACACAATAGTATTGTTTAAAGAATGTTAATTGAGTCACAGAAGATGTACTGATCATTTTATCCATGCTCAATATATGATAGGCAGATACATTATTATAGCCCAACTTTTGGAGATCAAAGTGAATTATTGATGGGAAGACTGTCTTTCAAAGTGATACTTTCCCTTAATAAAGTAGACAGCAAAGGAACATGCTTTAAAATAATAAAAGCCACTTATGACAAATCCACACCTAATATCATACTGAATGGGAAAAAGCTGGAAGCATTCCCCTTGAGAACTGGAACAAGACAAGGATGCCCACTCTCTGCACTCATATTCAAGATATTACTAATTGTCCTAGTCTGAGAAATCAGGCAAGAGAAAGAAATAAAAGGCATCCAAGTAGAAAAAGAAGTCAAACTATTTTTCTTCACTGACAATATGATTCTATTCCTAGAAAACCCTAAAGACTCTACCAAAAGGTTCCAGAACTGATAAATGACTTCAGTAAAGTTTCGGGGTACAAAATCAAGGTACAAAAATCATTAGCATTTCTATACACCAATGTGTTCAAGCTGAGAGCCAAATCAAGAACAAAATCTCACCTACAATAGCCACACATACAGTATCCCTAGGAATACATCTAACCAAGGAGGTGAAAGATCTCTACAAGGAGAACTAAAAAATATTGCAGAAAGAAATCACAGATAACACAGACAAAGGGAGAAACATTACATGCTCATAGATTTGAATAAATAGTATTTTCAAATACTGCCCAAACAATCTACAGATTCAACTCTATTCCTATGAAACTACCAATGACATTTTTGACAGAATTAGAACAAAACTATGCAAAAATTCATATGGAACCAAAAAGTAGCCCAAATAGCCAAAGCAACCCTCAGCAAAAAGAACAAAGTTGGAAACATCACATTACTTGACTTCAAACATAGTATACGGCTACAGTAAACAAAACAGCATGGTACTGGTACAAGAACAGACACATAGACCTATACAACAGACTAGAGAACTCAGAAATAAAGCCACATACCTACAACCATCTAATTGTTGACAGAGTTGACAGAAATAAGCAAGGGGAGAAGGACTGTTCAATAAATGGTACTGGGACAACTGGCTAGGCATATGCAGAAGAATGAAACTGGACCTCTACTTTTTGCCATATATAAAAATTAACTGAAGATGGATTAAAGATTTAAATGTGAGTCCTCAAACTGTAAGAATCCTAGAAGAAAACCTAGGAAACACCATTCTGGACATCAGCCTTGGGAAAGAATTTATGACTAAGTCCTCAGAAGCAATTGCAACAAAAAAATCAATAAGTTAGGCTTAATTAAAGAGCTTCTGCATGGCAAAGAAAAGAAGCTATCAACAGAATACCCAGACAACCTACAAAATTGGAGAAAATACTCATAAACTATGATCTGACAAATGTCTAATATCCAAAAATCTATAAGAAACTTAAACAATTCAACAAACAAAGCAACCCCATTAAAAAGTAGGCAAAAGGCATAAGCAGACACTTCTCAAAACAAAGAAACAAACACATACACACACATAGGTAGCCAACAAACATATGAAAAAAAATGCTCATTATCACTAATCATTAGAGAAATGCAATAAGATACTAACTATCTCACACCAGTTTTCACAATGGACATTATTTAAAAGTCAAAAAAACAACAGGTCGTGGCAAGGCTGTGGAGAAAAGGGAATGCTTATACGCTGTTGGTGGGAATATAAGTTAGTTCAGCTATTGTGGGAAGCAGTTTAGAGATTTCTTGAACTTAAAACAGAACTATCATTCTACCCAGCAATCCCATTACTGGGTATATATCCAAAAGAAAACAAATTGTTCTACCAAAGAGACACTTGTACTTGTATGTTCGTTGCAGCACTATTCATAGCAAAGATGTGGAATCAATTCAGGTGCCCATCAGTGGGGGATTGGATAAAGAAAATGTGAGACATAAACACCATGGACTACTACATAGCCATAAAAAAGAACAAAATTATGTCCTTTGCAGCAACATGGATGCAGCTAGAGACCCTAATCCTAAGCCAGTGAATACAGGAACAGATAACCAAATACTACATGTTTTCACTTATAAGTGGAAGCTAAATATTGGGTACTCACGGACATAAAGATGGCAACAGTAGACACAGGAGACTACACGGTGAGGGGGGAAGGAAGGGGAGCCAGAGGTGACAAACTACTGGGTACTATGCTCAGTACTTGGGTGACAAAATCAGTCATACCCCAAATGGCAGCATCATGCCATATACCCTTGTAGCAATCCTGCACATGTACTCCCTGAATCTAAAATAAAAGTTGGAATTATTTTAAAAAATACATTTTTTAAAATGTAAAAAGAAAAACAAAGTGGTATTTTCTTCCCCTTCTCCCTTTCTTCCTTCCTCCCTTGAGTATCCAAGAGATATCTCTCCGTCCGCTTGGCTACTTAACAGCAGCTGTTGTTTGAACCATAAAGTGAATTATTCATTAAGTCAGCCTTTTTGCCAGCTGACTGGCTGCTGACTTTCTGAAAAATGACATTGATTTCTTAAGATCCTCAAATAAGTAATGAAAATCAACCGTCTAAATTCATTCAACCTTAATTGAATAAATACCGTATGGATTCTCCCACAGGATCTCAAAAGCAAACCAAAAATTGTTCAGCTGAAATTAAACAATCTTTGGCTGTATAAAACTAATGGGAGTTGAAATGCAGGAAATTCCATTTAGCAGTCAAAAACCCCAGAGCATGCCAGACTTATTCAGAGCATTGCCTCCATCTTTTGTTCAGAGAATATACAGAGAAATGTTGAGTATCTGAATTTCTAAAATGATTGCTTGGGTAAAGAGGACCTGCTTGGATATGTACCTATTTAAAAAGCATTTATCTTGGAAATACGTTGAGCTGTAAGTGAGATCTGTAGAAGAATAGGCTAGTTGTTACTTGCTTCGGATTTTCCAGAAGGAAATAAGACTTAGTCATGAGGGGCACATTTTAAACAGGTTTACCTGTTTTTGTCTGGCCAGAAGGGAGTCAACCTAAGGAAAAGTAATTTTAATTTTAATTTTTTTCTTCTTTTTTTTTGTTTTGATGATCTCAGCTCACTGCAACTTCCACATCCTGGATTCAGGCGATTCTCCTGCCTCAGCCTCCTAAGTAGCTGGGATTACAGGCATGTGCCACCACGCCCAGCTAATTTTTGTATTTATTAGTAGAGACAGGGTTTGACCATGTTGGCCAGGCTGGTCTCGAACTCCTGACCTCAGGTGACCCACCCACCTAGGTGTGTAAACTTGGAATTCTATAGTTTCTGTACATTTTTTTAGAAACAAATTTCTGATATTATAGCCATCGTTTTCAGACCTTATTTATACAACTAGTTAGTATAGACTGCTGTGTAGCAAATGAAGTGTGGGGAGATCGCAGTGAGAACAGAGTGACCATGCTAGGTGGTTGTGATTCAGAATAGGGACGTGGAATGAAGGGGAAGGGAAGTAGTGACATTTGATTTAAGTATTTGGGGTAGAGCCATTAGAACTTGCAGAAACACTGGATGTATATACCTGTGAGTGTGTAAGTTCACACGTGCTTGTTTGTTAAGGGTAAAAAGTGTGCCCAGAAATGGGAGGTGAAGCAGTAGGAGAAATCCGGGGTAACACCTTTTTGTTTTGAACAATAAAACAGAAACAGGTCTAGCAAAAATACCAATCCTGTTTTCAGTTTGATCAAAAGTTCAAATTTCCAGTAGGTCTAGAAGTAGTATTAGCATTAAAATCCATTCTTCTGGATTTGTCTAAGACTGGAAAGATCAGAAGTCAAAAGACATTTCAACTTTCAATTTCAGAGCTGCCAATCTTCTATCTTTCTTGAACTCTAAAATTATTTTTCTGAAAGGAGTTTATGATCATCATACTCAAAGTGATCTCTAAGAGTGATTTTAAAATTTTTATTACAAAGTTTCCTTAATGTGAAATGAAAAGAAACCAGCCTGTTTTTTTTTTCTTTTAAATATGACAGCAAATGTACTGTTTTGATGAAATGATGTTCTTCCAAGCCTTGGTGATTGTTTTAATTTCAAAGAGTCTGGAAATGAAAGTGACAGCTGATAATTTTTGGAAGTGTGGGCGGGGTGATAAAATCGTGCATTTAAATCATGTTAAAAACTTGGCTTGAGTCTTTGGAAGCTTAGTAATTTACAGCAGTGATATAAATCCAGCTGAATCTGATGGAAGGAGGACTCAGGAGGTAGACACTGGAATAGGCAGAGATTATGAGAATAATAATCAAAGAACAGTAGATTCAGTTAAGCAAAATGTGTGGGCTTATCTTTTAAAGCAATTTCTTTGTAGATAGTTGATGAAAACTATAATAAGCTTTTGGTATATTGACTGATTTTCTCTATCAGCCCATTTAACATTATCTACTGAAAACAAAATTTGGTGTATATTAATCTTTTATTATCCTTATGGACATTTTGAATAAAATTACTCTCTAAGCCAATTTTGTGTAATTGGCAGCTAACGTAATTGGTAAATGCTATTTGAGAAGAAACCCAGGAGTAAGCATCTAACATCTTACAGCTTATTCAGATATTGCAGATGATCTGCATTTTGTAAAATGGAGTAATTTATTATTTGCACATGATATCTGATTTTTGATGATCCATTTGTAGTCTATATTGTCTATATAGGACTTAGAACAAAAACATGGCATGAGCGTTAATTTTGTTTTCACAATACCACTTCATTTACATGTATCTTATTTTAAATTTAATTTAAATGAATTATTTCGGACTGACTAAAAAACTATTATATTGGGGTTCTATTTCCATTTATTGATATTTTTAACTTAGACTGATGTTTAATACAGATTGCTCATATAGAGAACAAATAGGCATGATGAAATTGTTTCAAACTGGTTAGATGGAATTGGATGTAAGTTGGAAAAACATATTTCTGTCACAATTTAAGCAGTCAGCAAATAATCAGAACACCTTTTGGTCTACTTACAGGAGAGGTCACATAAGTGATTCCTTAACTGGCACTCTTGCCCCCCCATCCCTGTCGTATCTATCTGTACACTTCTTTCAGGACCCTTTTCCTAAAGCAAATGGGTGATTATATTACCTTCTTTCTCACAAATTCCTAACTCTCTGTTATCAACTAAATGAAGTCCAGATTGGGCTCTAGTTGGGCCTTCCTTGTTGCCTATAGTTGTTTCTCCTTCTGCCTTTCACTGATTTTTTTTTTTTTTTTTTTTTTCCTGAGACAGGGTCTTGTTCTGTTGCCCAGGCTGGAGTGCTTGCTCAGTCTTCTGAGTAGCTGGGACTATCGGCATGCACCACTATGCCCAGCTCATTTTTCAATTTTTTTTTTTTTTTTAGAAACAAGGTCTTGCTGTGTTTCCCAAGCTGGCCTCAAACTCCTGGCCTCAAGGGATCCTCCTGCATAGCCTCCCAAACTGCTGAGATGACAGATGTGAGCCACTGCACCCAGCCTCTTTCCTGGATTTTGTACCAAACTGAACTATGTTCCTAGAAAAATGACATCCCCCAACCCATTTCCGGGAAATGCACCCTCGTCTTGATTCCCCTTTTCATCACCTTTCTACATGGCACCCATATTCTCTAACCAGTGCTATCCAAGGTCAGGCAGAGAAAGCTCATGGTCCCAGGTCCAAGGGCTGCCTTCATTCAGGTTAAGTGGCTTTATTAGCCAGAGTTTCCTTATCTGTAAATGTAATACAGCACTTTTAATATACAATGGTTTTAGGGACCAAATAAGATAAAATACGTAAAACACATACACAATACCTGGAATACGTTGGGTGCTCTGTAATAAAATAAATTCCCAGCTTAAAAAAAAAAGAAGTTGTTCATAACTGTTTTCTGTTCCCACACTGGAAAGAAGCTCTCCTCCTTTGACCTGTCATGGCACTTCATTTAAAATTTTGAAACATTCTTGGCTGGGCGTGGTGGCTCACGCCTGTAATTTCAGCACTTTGGGAGGCTGAGGTGGGTGGATCACCTGAGTCAGGAGTTCGAGACCAGCCTGGTCAACGTGGTGAAACCCCATCTCTACAAAAAATACAAAAATTAGCCAGGCATGGTGGCGGACACCTGTAATCCCAGCTACTTGGGAGGCTGAGACAGGAGAATCGCTTGAATCCAAGAGGCTGAGATTGCAGTGAGCCAAGACTGCGGCATTGCACTCCAGCTTGGGTGACAAGAGTGAAACTCCATTAAAAAAAAAATTCTCGTAATTTTCTATTAGAGTAGATATTGGACATATCATCTCTATTAGGCTGTAAATTCTTGAAACTATAAATACTTTATTTGTTTCTGTAATCTCCACAGCTTTGAAACAATCCCTTTTACATGAAAACGAGTCTTAATTGACTGGAAATATTAGTGAAAGAATGGCAACTACTCTCAGGTGCAGGGGGGTGTCTCAGCACTTGAATAAATTTTTTAAAACAATGTAACATATCTCAGTAATCATTTTTTATATTGACTGCATGTTAAAATGAAAACATTTTGGATCTGACAGGTTTACTGGAATATATTACTAAACTTAATTTTACCTTTAAATTTACCTTTCAGAAAATGTACAATTACATGTGTGTCTCCCATTCCGTTTCTATTGTACAGCTCTGGAATCTTAGTATTAACATTCCTCAGCAAAAACATCAGCTCTCAAAGAAACCTTTGGACTTGTGAATTTACAAATCTCTGATTGATAATAGACACTAGCTGATTTATTATGTAGATTAATAGGTAAATGAATAAATGAGCAAATGTACACATGGAAGGACAAAAGGAGAGATGGAATAAAAGATCAATGAAGGCACAGACTGTATCTGTCTCACATATTTATGTGTCCCTAGAATTTAGAACATTCTGTGTCTGTTAAGTGCTTATATGCATGTCTTACATACTAGCGTTGTCTAAAACTTTTGATTGGCTTAGTCCAAGTGTATTGAACTATGTCAATACGGGAATGTGTATGACTAATGCCTTGCTTTACACCCATAGGTTACATGACCATTTCTATTTTATAGAGCAGATAGTAAAAACTTAAGACAACTTAGCAATTAAGAAGTGCTACTGGGAACAATTCTGTTTAATTATAAAAGGGCAGTTTTAGGTATCTACTCTGTGGGCACTGGCATAATTTGTGAAATATCAGCACAAATGTTCCTGTCTTCATATAGGGCAACTCAATTTATGAAATTCAACAATTTGGAAATTTTATAAATCATAAAAAAGATTTATATGCTTTATTTGAAAACTGGGGCTTTTAGAGTTCACAAGCAAACTAGTACCAACTTACTTCCATCTCTCATTCTAGTCTTTGAACTGGTACTGTGTGGAAATTAGTTTTTGAGCAGAGAGTATACTATTGATGTGTGTCACATTTTAAGAAGGATATTGCTCTCTTTGTAGTTCTTTGTTGACTCTATAAATGATTTACTGTAAATGCTCATTGTAAGAATATGTGAAATACAGAAAGTTTAATATAAATAAAAAGATCTGAGTTTCTGATACCCGAAAGTAGCCCTTAAAGTATTTTCACACACAAAGTTCCAGATAACATTTTAGTCATGCACACATTTGGATTACATGTATAGAATTTTACAAAAATTAGGTCAATTTTGTAAGGTTTTTAACTTAATAATACGCTGGAAATATCTTCTTCTCATATCAACACATGAAATTACCACGTTTATGCCAGGATAATGTTGCATTAAATTAATGCATCATAATATATGTCACCTGGCTCCTCATGATGGGCATGTCAGTCTTTTCCAGTTTTTGATACAAATAACACTGCGATGAAGTGACTCATGCATTCATTTTTGTTCACTGATTTGATGGGCCCTTTAGTAAAAATTCGACCATATGTTCTTGCTGGGTCAAGGTTATGCAGTTATTAATACATGTTGCTAAACTGTCTTCAAAGAAGTTGTACCAATTTACATTCTGCTTCCACATTCCTTAGCAATACAAATCTAGTTTTTGCAATGAAAGTTACTGGGACAGTAACATTTATTCTTTAGAGTTTCAGTTTTATGCAGTCTATATATTAGGTGCTACCAGAAAGATTAACAACTATAAATACTGTTCTGATTGTGATCTCCTCAAGGTGAAATAGTTAAATTATTCTTTTGAGATTGTCTGACTTAGATCTGCATATTCTTGTTAAGTTCAGCTTTCAGCTACAAGTTTAACTTGTTGTTCATTGCATCTAGTATCTTCTTGGATTAACACCTGTTCTTCTTAAATGAAAATTGTTGTTTCTATGTATATTGCTGGTGTTTCACGTAGAGAAGAGCAGACGAGGATAACAACCTACTTCTTTATCACCTCAGGGCAAAATCAAGCCTGATTGTATAGCAGTGAGGTACCTGTTATACAGTATACTCTCTAAGAGAGACACAAATAACTAATTCCATGGCTTTGTTCACACCTGTCTCATGCTATTGTGGAAAGTGAACGTTTAGATTCCTTTCTGAACTGAGAGAAATTTCTTGAGCACTCACTATATGCTTGAGTAAATATGTAATAAAACCTACAGACCTAAAATAAATTATAACCTATTTGCTCTACTGTTCTTTGACATCTAAACATGTAAATCTGAACTGGAAAACTGACGTATCCCCTTTGGCCATGAATGAAATGTCTGATAAAGCCAAGTATCTCTGTAACCAGATCTCCTCTTGTTCTACATTTAATTGGAACTGCATGTAAAATATGATTTTCCAGGGCATTTAGAATTAATACCTCAGAGGTTGTAACGTAGTTCAGTACTTGAAGTTACTTCCAAAGCTATCTGCCTTTTATCCCCCTCAGTTCGGAATTTGTCTGGGGAAGGGATTTTGTTTAAATTTTATCTTAAATTAGGTATAAGGAAGGTCAGATCATCACAAATAATTGTGTTTAAATCTATACAAATAAATATATCAGAAAGTGTATGTAAGTTTTTGTTTTGTTTTGTTTTGTTTTTCAAATTAAGTTCTGAAACTCAACTAGACCTTGTTTCCAGAGAAGTAAGAGGAGCAGTTTGCCAATGCTGTCTAGGCACATTATTTTGTAGCTAACAGGAAATCTTGAGTGATCAGCCACTAACAGATCATTAACCAGGTTTTGTGGCCTATGGCAGACAGCCTTCTGATTAGAAGTTGAAACAGAAAGCAACATAGTTGTTACTCTTCTTTGTGATTTCTGAATAGAAGGGAGAAATCAAGCTAAATTTGGACTGTCATTTCCTTAAATGTTCATTTTACAAATGAAGACATTAATCCTGAGATGTTGAGCAGTTTACCCAGGATTATCATCCCTTCCATAAAAATCCCACTGTCCATCTGATAAGCCCTTTTTCTTAAAATCTTACAAAACTGTTGAATGATTTTTAAGGAAAGGATAATAAAGATACCTGGAATGATTGTCTTGGTGTTTCTGAGAAACACATTTCTAACCAAAAAGGAAGATGAAATCAAAGAGCTTATTACTAGAAATAAAGGGGTCAAAGCCTCATCCAACTTTACCTTTTGATAAAAAGCTACTAAAAAATAATTCATCACTGAAAAGAAAACAGCAAGTATTAAAATGATGTCTTTGTAGCAGTGAGTTTATTTGGTGCCTTTCTTAGCAAGGACATTGTCCAAGTTTTTATTAAATGTATGCTGACTGTGTGTTAAGAGTTCATATCTTAATTTAAGAATCCTGAAATGGCTTGTCTCCTTGATACTTACTTAAATTAAATTTAGAAATATTCGTATCTGAGATATATCACAGTGTAGAGTAAATAGCTTAGGTCTTTATTTAAATCAGCAATTTAAAACCTGGGGTCTATGTATCACTTATAAACTCCTCTCCTGGGAGTGCCAGATGTATTTAGAATGTAAAACATCCAGGAACCCAAATGAAACCCTAGGGACCCACAGATTTTGAAGATCTTCTATGAAGAGTTTGTTCAACACTTTCACCCCCAATTCTATGACCTATAGAAATACAGAGCCACAGCCAGGATTTCTGAAAATTCTAAGGACATTTTCTGTGTCTATTATTTCAGAGTTCTGTCACCTACCTATTTTTTCTGTGCTGTACTATGTGGCACAGATGTGAAAATCCACAGCATCTTTGAGTCCCTCCCCAATCACTCACACAAAATGTAATGACTTCATAAATACTTGTTATGGAAAGGGAAATCTGGAGAAGGGGTTTAAATTGCAGTAACAAGGCCAGGCAAGACGGCTCATGCCTGACATCTCAGTGCTTTGGGGGGCTGAGGTAGAAGGATTGCTTGAGCCTCAAAGTTTGATACCAGACTGGCAACATATCTAGAGCTCGTCTCAAAAAAAAAAAAAAAAAAAAAAAAATTAGCCAGGGTGGTAGTGCACACGTGTATTCCCAGCTACTGGGGAGGCTAAGATGAGAGTATTGCTTGAGTCCTGGAGTTCCAGGTCACAGTAAACTGTGATCTCACCACTGCACTCCAGCTTGGGTGACTGAGTGAGACCCTGTCTGTAAGATAAATAAATGAATAAGAAGAATAAAATAAAATAAAATAAATGACAGAAACAAAAACTGGCCAAATGAAACAGAGGTTATCTCTTTGCAGTGTCTTTTGGGCAGTCCAACCTGTTACATTTGTGAGGATGGGGCCTCTTGATTTTGCTAGCTCCTCTCTTTTTCCTTCCTATTCTGTCCTCTACCCTCTTTTATTCTTCTATCCTCTATGAAAGTAGAACACTTCTCTCCAGATACTCTAAAGTTGAATTTTTCAAATGTCCTATGACCTTGCACTCATACCATCTGTTCAAACACATATTAAAATATCTTTCCAAGCAAAGACAGTTCCTGTTTATCCCTTGACCAAGGAATTGTGGTGCCTGATTACATATTTTTTTCCTTCCATATTACAATAAACATTTCATATTAAAACATGAAAGCGACACAGACCTTGAGCAATATTGCTATTTGCATAATCAGTTGCTATTTGCATAATCAATTGGCATACAAATCATCAGTGTACATAGCTTGCTGTCCCTGGAAACTAAGAATATAAAATCAATGGAGGCTTAAGTGTAGCAGTTGTTTTAGCGCCTCAGGAAGCTGAGCAGCAGTAAGTTACTTTCCTTGACTTGTATTTCTGTGTTGCTAGGTAGTTCTGAAAGCTACTAGTTAGACCATACGGCATGGGCTGTTTGAATTTACTTAGCTGTTGTTAGCAGGATGCTTCCTGTGTGTTTTTATAACAAAATTCTGTGGTGTTTTGGGGCAGTACTTCTGTGATTTCTTACTGGTAAAATACCCCAAATGAAATAATTATTGCATTGTTCTCCTGGAGATGGATGTAACCCCATGGCAGAGATGTACGCTGTGCAAACTCATTGTTTTCAAGATCAAAATAGAAGTCATTGATTCTCCCTGCATATATCAACATGCATCATGACAATCCAACCAAATGAGATAGTGGTACTCTGATGATCAATGTGAGGCCACAGTTGGATCGCTGTGGAGCTCTAAGCACATCTGAGTATGTGTAACTTGAAAACCTTTTGTTCCTAGCATTCTACTAAGTTTCTGACACAAGTGTCACATTAAAGAAAGCTTGTAAGAAAAGAAAAATTGTTAGCAAAATCTCATACACTAGAAGTGACAAAAATTGCGTAAGGAGGGTTCAGCAGGAATCGTTGTCTTATGACATGATCAGTTCTAGAATTCATGCAGTGAGCTAGGTTAACTTTCCAGGAAGTTAGGGGAGACAAAGCTGATCCTGTTAATGTGTGTAGTTCACCTAAATGGGTCAAATGGCACTGATACCCACATCAGCCATTGATGACTGGGTGGTACATTGCACAAAGGTCTTGGAAAAATGTTTGCTCTGAGGAAGCATCGCAGTGACCTATGAGAGGAGTCAATTTGCTCAGCCTCATCAGGGTTTGCCTCAACTTCTGAATTGAAGCTTGATTGCTTTGCATGGGTGATGCTTTTGCCATACTAGGAGGGCCCTCAAAATGATGACACATTTTCTACTGTGTCATGCACTTGCTTACAAATCTGAAGGATCCATTTTCTGTTGTGGCAATTGGAGTATACCAAGTGAGCAGAGAGCTTGCTCCAATTATAACATCTCCTATGCCTTTTTTGAAAGAAAATGATACTGAATGTATTGCCTTTTATCATGCGGAAATGAGGTGTTTTTAGTGACGATATTTATTTGTGTTTCAAATGTGGAAAGAAATAAATCAGGGATTTTTCTTGCCATAAAGCTAAAATTTAGGAAAAAGTCTTATATATGAGATACTTGTTTCAGGAAATAAAGGGATGAATGTTGCAAGTTAAATCTTACTGAGTTTAGAGCACTTAGATGATTTTATGTCTTGTCATTTTTCCCAGGAGAGCTTACAGTGAAAATACATCCCAGATCCTCTGTTTGAAACTAGGATTCTATCTTACAACAGTAATATGATAAAATGTGATGAAAAGGAGGTTCTTTTTTTTTTTTTTTTTTTTGAGATGGAGTCTCATGCACCCATCTTTACTTTTTTTTTTTTTTTTTTTTTTTTGAGATGGAGTCTTGCTCTGTGAACCAGGCTGCAGTGCAGTGGCACGATCTCGGCTCACTGCACGCTCCGCCTCGAGGTTTCACGCCATTCTCCCGCCTCAGCCTCCCCAGCAGGTGGGACTACAGGCGCATGCCTCCACGCCCGGCTAATTTTTTTGTATTTTTAGTAGAGACGTGTTTCACCGTGTTAGCCAATATGGTCTCGATCTCCTGACGTCGTGATCCGCCTGCCTCGGCCTCCCGAAGTGCTGGGATTAGGGGCGAGAGCCACCGCGCCCGGCTCAGCCATCTTTACTTATAAATTGCAGTGGCTCATGCCTGTAATCCCAGCACTTTGGGAGGCCGAGGCTGGGCGGATCACGAGGTCAGGAGATCGAGACCATCCTGGCTAACACGGTGAAACCCCGTCTCCACTAAAAATACAAAAACAAAATTAGCCGGGCTTGGTGGCTGGTGCCTGTAGTCCCAGCTGCTCGGGAGGCTGAGGCGGGAGAATGGCGTGAACCTGGGAGGCAGAGCTTGCAGTGAGCCGAGATCGTGAAACTGTACTCCAGCCTGGGCGACAGAGCGAGACTACGTCTCAAAAAAAAAAAAAAAAAAAAAGTTTATTTTTTTCTCTTTCTTGATTGTGTAATAGGCTGTAGCTCAGAGCCCTCCCTTCCCTATCTATGGAGAGACTCCTTTGTCTGGATTCTTTCTGTTGGTAGCTCACTTTATACATCAGGTTTACAATATTTCAGAAGTAGACATTAAAGGAAGGGGAATCCCTCACACATTCATTTCCCTTGAAATCAGAAGTAACACACTCCATTGAATTCCTACTAGAGTATGAACACTTTCCATTACTTTTATTTTCATCTGACATCTGATGTATTTGAACCAAGAGTACAGATTTTGGGGAGGGCATGATGGAAAATGTCCAAAGAGAGAGAAAATGTCCACTGAGAGCACTGATTAGAACCAAGCTTCTGTTTGTTTTCTTAATCCAGTCTATCATTGTTGGACATTTGGGTTGGTTCCAAGTCTTTGCTATTGTGAATAGTGCCACAATAAACATATGTGTGCATGTCACATATATACCATGGGATACTATGCAGCCATAAAAAATGATGAATTCATGTCCTTTGTAGGGGCATGGATGAAACTGGAAACCATCATTCTCAGCAAACTATCGCAAGGCCAAAAAACCAAACACCGCATGTTCTCACTCATAGGTGGGAATTGAACAATGAGAACACATGGACACAGGAAGGGGAACATCACACACCGGGGCCTGTTGTGGGGTGGGGCGAGAGGGGAGGGACAGCATTAGGAGATATGCCTAATTTAAATGACGAGTTAATGGGTGGAGCACACCAACATGGCACATGTATACATATGTAACAAACCTGCACATTGTGCACATGTACCCTAGAACTTGAAGTATAATAAAAAAAAAAACAAAAAACAAGCTTTTGTTTCTTTAGGCTTTAGGTCCTGCCTGAAGTCAGAAATTGAGCTTGCAGTCTGCTTCTTGGGGAAGGTAGCATTAGTTTTTCACCTTCTACATGCAGTGATTCTAAAATGTGTAAGTGCAATAATGGCAAATTCATTATTGGGAAAAATATAAAGAATATGGCAACTAGGAACACTTTGCCAAAACAGCATCATCGGTTATAAGCAATGTTCTGCCAGTGAACATTTAACAACAGACTCTCTGAGGAAAGAAAAAGCCCCTGATTTGTAGCCTCTGCCAATTTCTTTGGCTATTCCCACCATGGCTGAAGACTGAAGTCAAGTTACTGGCCAGACCACACTGAAATGGATTTGGTGAGAGATGCAGACCATTGATTCTGGGGAGCCGGCTCCAACTTACCCTTAGAGGCTTACAACTTTATCTTTTGTCGGTTGGTTGGTTTTCAACTGGGTAAGCACAACAATAAGAAGGAAGGGAGGTTGGGCTGATGTTCCTCAGTCCTTTATGAGAGCAAAATGGAGTTTCAGGATTGGCCCTTTTCCAATCTCCAGCTTCCCATTCCTGCATAATATACTAAATAGCTTTCCATTTTTCATCACTGCAGAAGAAATAACTCAGAAACTCAAAAGAGCAATACACTGAAAGGAGTTAAAAACAATCCCTATAGGAAATATAATAAGCACACATCATCCTAGCTATATTCATGTAGTAATGCCTCTGAGCCTTGGGTGTGGGTTGCTTATGCAGTTTCTCTGGCACAGGATCACACACTATTGTCACAGCACTTGTCCCCTTGCTGTGTTTTTATTTGTTTTCGTGTCTCTCTGCCCCAGTAGACAGAGCCTGAGCTCCTTGAGGGCAGGCACCATTTGTTTTTGTTTTTTTTTTCTTCACTATCTCCTAACCTTAGCAGAGTGCCTGGTTAATAACAGGCTCTTTCCCTGCATTCTATGCCTCCATAGGGGGCAACTCTAAGAGCCTTTCCAGCTCCAGATCTCCCTCTGGGAGCAACCCAGGCTTCTGTTGCAACCACTTTGCAATTAAATTTTCTCTTTGCTTAATCCAGCTTCCCTCACGCCTTTGTAGGTAGGAATTGTTCCTGAGAGTGCTCCATAACAGTTATCCTGCTTGCAAGTCCCCATTTCAGAGACAATATTTAATTTATGACATTTTGAATATTGCACAGAGAAATTTGGAAATTCGTTTGGCCACTTTTCTACAGTAATGCATTTCACAGCATGAAATAATTTGCATTATTCAAAATTGAGTATCACATGAAACCAATGGCCCTTTGCTTGAGGGTGCTATTAAACTAGATGATCCATTAGAATCTTTGACTTCCTAAAAATGTTTCTATCACTGGGCACTGAAATCAGCTGACTTAGCTGTGATTAATGTGATTGACAGAGTTTCAAGGCAGACTGCAAACACTTTGAGAAGGAGTTCTACCATAATCATAAAGTCTTATCCTGGATAATTTTGAATAATTGCCATGGACTATTGGCCATTTTTTGGTGGCGGTAGGTACTGCCATTGAACAGGTGGATATGTGCCTTTGGTCCCAAGGCAAATGCTATGCTTTTGCCAAAGAAATCACCTTTTAATATAACTTACTTTCACATCACCTGAATTCCTTAGTATGTCATCTGGGATTCCTGGGTACCAACAATTCCCACTTGTTCTGTGTGTCACATTGCCAATACAATCAGACATCTGCTTCTGGAATAATAAAGCTGTGTTTGTGGTGCTAGCACATACCTTGGCTTCTGTGAGTCAGGAAGCTTATTGTTGCATGTACTTGAACCATCCCGGTCTGCAGGAGCACAGCAGATTTCTCTGGAAAACAGTTTTTTTTGGGGGGGGGGGTTACATAATTCAATGAAAGTGTCTTAATGTATGAATCTCAGAAATCAAGATGATTAACTTCAGACTCTGGCATGGCCTCAAACAGCCATTATTAACACTGGGCTTGTATGCCCTGGTTTTAGAATGAAGTTCCTAATTTAATTATATCTCAGTAGTCCTCAATGGATTGACAGTGCCCTTCTTATTAACAAGATCTCAGTCTCAATTCTAGAAGATGCTTCTTTTAGGTATCAGTAAAGTGGGACAAGTAGACCTTCAGCAATTTTCCTGAATTAGGGAAGACTAGGAAGTGCTATTATAATCACATTGTAATCATCAGTATTACAAATTAGAGAAATATATAACTATAGAACTGCAGGTACTAAAAAACACACAGTAAAGTCATATTTCTTTCTTTCTCTTTATATATATAGTATATATATAAACACGCACACATATACATGTGTATATATAGTATATATGTACTCATGCACATATATATACTACGTATACATATATACACACTTAAAATTAGATATGTGTATATAGTATGTGTAAGTACACATATATGTGTATATATACACATATATGTGTATCAGCCATTTTATTTTATATATGTATATGTACACATATATAATAAATGTATGTATACACATATATAAAAAATATATATGTGCACATATATAAAATATATATGTGCACATATATAAAAAATATATATGTGCACATATATATAAAACATGTGTGTATATGTACACACATAGATGAGTAGACCAATGCAGCTGTATGATATAGATATAGAAATAGATCCATATCATAATTTGGGTCACATTTTTAAATGGGGTAAAGCAGCAAGTGAAATGTCATTAAAGGAGCTTATTTTATTAAATTATTTTGTCTCATGAATTTAACACACAGTTTTGCATTTTGTGATTGAACTAGTCTTTCTCTTCCTTTTCCTTCCCTTCACCTTCCTTAATACCACTGAACATTAAGCAAGACTGTAGTCCCACCACACTAGGCCTGAGACATTCCCACTGTGCTGAGAGACCCATAATTTGAGAACAGGCCTCCTGGGAAGAGAACGGTTCGCGTTACCATTTTTTTTTTCCCCCAGCATGCTTCCCTCACATATCCTGGCCTGCAATGCAGAGGCCAGGGGGAAACACTGGGGAGAGGGCTCCCAGGACCTAGCAGTGTGATTATCACAGCTGGTGCTGGGTCGCTGTTTCCACAGCCACATTCCGGAGCTGTGAAAGGTCTGCCCAGACGTAAATCCCAGCCCCTCTCTGTCAGTGCTAACAGATGGCAACCTCATGGCGAGACTTGTTTTATGGCACAGATTTTATACTCAGTTGGAGCAGCCAACCTTGTATAAAATGTGACTATAATGACACCATCACATTCCCCATCTCTATCTAGAAAGCAAAAATGTGTAACATACATGCTTTGGTACAGTGTATTAGCTGCATCAATCTAAATTTTTGGGTGTAGAAAATCACCAATGGACTTGTTTAGCAAAAAATAGTAATTTAGGGAACCAATGTGAGTTCATTAGCATTCTCATATTGGGCTAGATTTTTATAAGATATGCCTAGAACACAGAAAGATGGTAACAGTATCAAAGACAAGTAAAAAGAAAGGATAGGAACTGCACTGTATCTGGATGAAATGGGAATTGAAAAAGACAAATCAAAAGAAAGTAACAAAATGGCCTCAAAACACAGTATTATTTAGTTATTTGGGCTTAAACCCAGAAAAAACACTATTTCATTTCTTACTGTAATGAAACCTAATCTTCGAACTAGAAAAAATAGAATAAACATACTAAGAGAAAACAATTATAATAATAAGTATAATAATAAACATAAGAGGAGATTAAATATGTGAAAATATGTTAAAATCAGACCTTACCACTTAAAATCAGCTGAAGATTCCAGGTACAAATGAGCGATGTTACAGCATACTGAAAAAACATTGCAGATACTATGTCATGTCCACCTTAGCAGCACGACTTGCTTTCTTTCTCATTTTAAAGCAGAGAAAACAGTAAAAAATCAGATCATCCTGCATCAAAAGTGAATGTAGCATTAGGCTATATTGACCGAAGTTTGCTTTCCAGAAAAATCAAAGATGCATCCTAATTAAGACTATTATTTGGTATTGTGTTTTCAGAGAACATGGCTTACATTAATGTTGATGAAACAGATCTGATTTCTATCAACTAAAATTATGAAGAAAAGGGAACAAATATTATGTGCATTAGCTGAAAGGACTTGGAATATTTTAACCTAGAAAAGACTTGAGGAGAAAGATAAGTTAGTTCAAATATTTGAAAGGCTGTCAGATTTAGGCTTCATTTATGTCATTGCATTGGACAATAGAACAATCAGTAAGTTGAAGTTACAAGTAAACAGGTCTCCACTCAGCGTTAAGATGGGTTTTGTACAATTGCCAGCTGTTTAATTAAAGTGGAAATGAACTGCTCTGAGACAGTGAACCCTGTTCAAATGGAAAGTGAAGTCAATTGTTCAGGTTTATGGTGGAAGGAATTCTTGTATTAGATGAGTGATTAAATACGATGACCTCACTGATCTCCTTCATTGCTTTTTTGTTGTTGTTGAGACAGGGTCTCACTCTGTCTCCCAGGCTGGAGTGCAGTGGCACGATCTCCGCTCCCTGCAACCTCCGCCTCCCAGGTTCAACTGATTCTCCAGCCTCAGCCTCCTGAGTCGCTGGGACTACAGGCGCACACCACTATGCCTGGCTAATTTTTTTGTTTTTAGTAGAGATGGGGGTCTCACCTTGTTGGCCAGCTGGTCTCGAACTCCTGGACTCAAGTGATACACCTGCCTTGGCCGCCCAAAGTGCTGGGAATATAGGCATGAGCCACCGCACCCGGCCCATTTCTAAAAATCTGTTTGGTTTTGGGGCGGAGTGTCATTTTGAACTTATTCAGCAACTGTGCAGGGTTGTGATATTTGAGCAGTGCTATTCATCCAAGCCATTTTATTTTCATATATTGTAAATAGTAGCAGGATATAGAGGAAATACTCAAATAAAATGTCTTTCAGTGATGTAGATGGTATCCTGTAAAACTATTGATTAAGTACCAACATCATTGCAACAGATGGCATAACCCAGTGTCAGACCAGTAAGTTTCATCAGGGTAAGGCCTCCAATCCACAAATTGAAAACAGGTGGCAAAAGTTCCCTGGGGGACCTGGCATCTGTAAGTAATCAGTTACTGTAAAAGCCCTGGTCAGACACAAATTAGCTTCTTTGCTGATGACATTTTTAATAGCTGAAGAACCTCACAGCTTTATTTAATTAGAATTTTAATATACAATATACATGCAGTTGATCACCTTTGACAATTGTTTGATTCTCTTCTACTTTTTTAGCCTAAGTTACAATATGCTAGCCAGACATTTTATTTCGGCGACACCAAAAGATCAGAAACATGTGATGGAAGGCAAGATGGACTTGTCTGTCTATACTGCTAGAAGGTTTCTCTGTTGCATTTTCTCTCGTTCCTCCATTCATCCATAACCGACCCTTAAGGGGAAATCAAATACATATGTACTCGGTTTCTGTTCAGTGGAAATTAAATCCCACGAAAACCAAACTGTGATTTGAACTGAAAATAGTCATTTTTAAAGTATGTTACCAACCTTTCTGACATGATATTCCACCAACCTCCCCCTCCCCAATGGAGATGGAAGTAAATTAAAGTTTATTCATAGGGAAATTGACATATAAGACAATGGATAAAGACATAAATTGCTAACATTGTCCAAAATCGATATTTTCAAAGCTTTGGGTCTTCTACTTCAAAGCTTCATTGGAAAGTATGATGGAAAGTGAGAATTTAGTAGAAAAGCCAGGCTACTCCATTTGGGGAAAAACGAATAGCTTAGAGTCCTTTGGACATACCATGGGAAGATCTCTGAATATTCATGAATGCTATTGGCCAGTATTTCAGTTAATATGGTAAGATAATTCTTATTCTGACTATACTCAGTAATTTGTCAGAAAAGCATTTGCTTTATGGAAGCAGTAAGTTTCTGCATCTATAACAATTGAGACAGGTCATAAAACAGAATAGAAATGTAACAGAAAACAGCAGAATGATTTAAAATGCCCTGTTTTTGGAAAATAAATGCTATGTGAAATCAAATAAAACATACTGCATACAATCCAGAGGTTCACTCACCTCCACATTTTCCGTTTTCTCCATAGTGACACAGAGAACTCTAAGGCGGAAGTCAGCCACATAAAGTGGCTACATTTTTAGTCTAAATGAAGAAGCAATAGAGGGCATTGGAAGAAGTTTAATCTCATGCCTACGTTCTTGAACTTGCCTCTGTCCCCCAGCCTCTTCCCTATACCAGGAGAAATTTTACCTTTATCTGCTGCATTGTTTTCTACTAGGCATTATTCTCTTCTCTAAAATGAAGAAAGCATTTTGCATTATTGGCTTTGGTCAAGGCTTTGGTTTGTATTTTATTAGTTTATTCCGGTCATGAATGACTGATTTATTGTTTGACAAAAACTTTCTGGTCATCATGGCCTTCGTACTTTGTATGCATCAACTGCCTCATCATCATCATAATCAGGAGGCTGAATGTTTTTAAAGTTTAAAAACAGTTAGCCCCTTGACAGATTACAATGACATTTCCAAGACAGTTCATATGAGGGAAATGGAATCAAGCAATAGACAGTGAATGCCTTCCTGTGTATAACTGTCATGTGAACTTAAGCCTTCTATATATGATGAAAGCCCTGTTGGATTACACACATCACCCTTCAGATTTCATAGCTGTTGCTAACTGCAAAGCACAAGTAGTAGCCTCCTCTATAGCCAATGAAGACATTATCTTGGCTTCCGATTTTTTTCATTGAGAAGATAGATATGGCATTTTCCTATTGATGTCATTGTGTAAACATAAAGACATATTTTAGATGCTTTTGACTATGAAATTCTCAAATCCTCAATTGTGGTTTTGTAGCTCCCAGGTATACTGCCATGGTTCAGGAAGGAATTTCTGGGGAGTGGGATGCAACATCCGGGCAGCACCTCCATTGGTTCAAGAACTAGGGCAGTGAAAAAGCAATAGAGAACAAGCCTGGTGTTGCACTGATGCCCCTGAGTAGTCCTAAAACAGTCCCAAGAAATCTAGACTAAACATGTTCTTCCGTGGGAGTCTCTCTCTGAGCTTCGTTCCAATCTCACAGAAGGATTTGCTGAAGTTGGCTTGGATCTAAAAAGCATAAAATCCCATGGGTAGGTAAAGATGAAACCACGCAGCTGTTCCTAGAAACTTCAAGTTCTGCTCCTGATTCTCTTTGTCTTAGTAAGACTTTTGATTTTAGATATGATTTAATATAATATATGGTTAATTGATAATACAGCCCGTTGGTGATTATTGTTTAGACTTTAAAGAAGCTGACTTACTGACTCATTGTTCCTCTTCACATTTTGTTGCTTACCTTTTAGTTATTTCTGTTTTTCAAGAAGCTCTTGAGAATGAGAGGAGTGAATGTGCCTGTGTTTTTTATATACTAATCATAACATGACGAGTGAGTTATTTCAAGAGGTGAAAATCATTGGCCAAAACTAAACTTCCCAGTTCACTGTATATTTGGGTTTATCACATAGCTCAGTTCCTTATGAACATGGGTAAGCAAAAAATTACTACAGGCTAGTTATTGTTTCCCCTTAACAATCGAAGTTGTTATACCGGAAATCAGAGGTAAGAATTCAATAAGAGTGCTGAAATGAGAGGGCTGAGATGTACATTGTGTACCCTGGTGAGTAAGAAGGCTGGATAGGGGCCGGATGTAAAGGTTGGGGTTTGAAATTCTTGGATAAAGACAAATGAGCAGCTTCTGGGCAAAAGAAATACTTTTGGGCTTTTCTACATTCTAATATTTATTAGGAAACTGTGTTGTTCTAGACTTTTCTGCTTATCATGTGTTTTTTCCATTTATTCATCTCTCGACAAACATTTATTAAACTCCTTTTTTATGAAGCAATGTGTCTGATCATAACTTGTTATGATCATAACAAGCTGGGATTATAACAAGTCGACTCAGCCCATCCAAGAAGGAATGGAAGATGTGTTTACATGTGATATAAGTCAGCATATGTTCATTGCCATGCCGAGAGGAAGAAAGTTCTTGTGAATGTGTAATCTCGCTGGGGATCTGATTGGGCAGGGGCGGCTAAAGCACAGGGCAGATGGAGGGAGAGATCCTAGGAACAGGGAGTGGCATGCGTTGTGCATAGAGGGAGGAAGGTCCAGTAATTACCTGGGGAATGGGAGAGCAGTTCATTATAGCTACAGGCTTTGAAGGGTGAGTTGAGATATCATTTGAAATGGACTTGAAGATCAGACTAAGATGCCCAGCCTTTATCCTGTGGACAATTTAGAGCCAGTATACATTTTTGAGCAGGACTTCTGATACTATCAAGATATATCTGGCTGCTTATCAGTGTTGGACTGGATAAAGGAAATGTGGTACATCTATACTGTGGAATTCCGTGTAGCCATAAAAAGAATGAAATCATGTCCTTTGCAGCAACATGAATGCAGCTGGAGACTGTTATCCTAAGCAAATTAATGCAGAAACAGAAAACCAAATACCCCACGTTATCACTCAAAAGTGGGAGCTAAACACTGAGGACTTGTGGACATTGAGAGAGAAACAATAGACACCAGAGTCTACTTGAGGGTGAAGGGTGGGAGGAGAATGAAGATTGAAACCTATGTATCGAGTACTGTGTTCACTACCTGGGTGAAGAAATAATTTGTACAGCAAATCCAAGCAACATGCAATTTGCCCATGTAACAAACGTGCACACACATCTCCCACGATAAAAGTTGGAAGAAAAAAACAAACCTGCACACACATCTCCCACGATAAAAGTTGGAAGAAAAAAAATGATGTATCTGGCAATCATGACCAAGGGAGACTTGATTAAGGAGAGAATGGATACAGGGGCACAGTTGAGCTGTTAAAATAGGGAAGAGTTATTTTTAAAAAGCCTAAACTTTTATGTAATTTTGAAATAAGAAGGAAGTGGTACTTAATTGACCAGTTGGAGAAAATTGAGCTAATTAGTGTCCTTAGGGTGCTTTTTACTGCACTGATGAAACAAATGTATTTAAAACCTCACTACTTCCTATCTACATGTAGTGAATAATCAGAATTAAGAAAAATATCTAAAATTGTATGTTAACTTGTATTTTTGCTAAAGGAAAAACCTATTAAGATTTTAATAACTTTTCTATGGTGGAAGCAATACAATAATTCTTTCAATCCACAGATTAAAATTCAGATTTTTAACTTAGAGTCCTTAATGAGATTTAAAAAGAGTTTTTGGCTTTGAATTTTAATTATATTTTTTCTTAATAAGCTGTGCCTATGGTTAATTTCTATATCTTTGTGAAAATGTTGTCATTTTCAATTGATGAAGGTGTTTTGATTAACTTTCTTCAAGATCTGCGTATATATATGTATATACACACATATATATGTATATATATACTCACAGATATATGTATACACATACATATATATGTATATATATATACTCACATATATATGTATACATATATATGTGTATATATGTATACTCACATATATATGTATACATATATATGTGAATATATATACTCATTGCTATTGTGCTTCTTGCAATGCACTAATTACTTTATTGTCTTCATTATTGTCAAGGAATTTGGTAGGAAAAGAAGGATATTTGTTCAAAGATACTTTAGGCTTTCCACTTCTAATTGGAATTTCTACTTTCTATTTAGAAGTTAAAATCTGTAAGTAGAAACACACACAAAAAATTGCTTTGGTAGACCCTACAGAATCAAAAGACATACGTTTTAGGTTTACCTTTAGAGAAACAGCAGTTTTGCCAGTACAGGAAAAAGTTATAATACTGGAATTTTCCCTGTGATGATGAATTGCCAGTCTGAGAGGAAGTGGTTGGGGAATGGTGGCCCACCAGCCTGAAAGCCCCCAAGAACAACCATTAATAAGCACTCTTTGGTTGAACACCCATCATTATGGGGACTGAGCTCCCTGGGAGAGCGCCATTCTGCCTCCATTTGACATTCAGAATTGTCAGTAAGAGAATGAATGGAAGTGTATAAACTCTTCCTGAAACAGACTGAAAAAGTCTTCATTTGGAGTAAAGAATAAGGAGCTAAAATTAGAACATCTCATTTTTTCAAGAGAGTTTTATAGGTGAAACTAGAATCATGATAATTACTTTGATTACGCTAAAAAGTAAGACTTGGGATATTTTATGTATACCATGTTTTAAGTGCCAAACATTTTCAATACTCAACTTTTGAGAGCCTAAAAGGGTGGAAAGCAACTTTGATAGAGATCATCAATAGTTTGCCTTTTGAAGCTCTTTTTGAAAAGCTAGAGAAAGACTCAAATTATCTAGATTATGTGGCTGTTCCTTTAAGTAGGATTACTTATGTCATGTTTGCATCAGGAAGTAGGTAAGTGGCCAATTTCTCATGTAGTTCCACAATCTTCAACAAAATCAACTTATTGCTGGATCCTCATTGGACCATGAGATGTAAATTGTTAGTTCCACAACCAGCTGGTGGTTTCTGTGGCCCAGAGAGGGCTGTCAGCCAGTCTATGGGCTGAAATGTTGGTGACAAAGCAACATTAACATGGAAATATGAAGTCGTTCAAAGGCCATACTTCACTGGCTGATGGCTGGACTCTTAGCTCAGAGGAAGAAGGGAAAAATAAATTGCTCTGGTGTTTACTGTGTCTGGAAGTGAAGTCAAGAATTATCTTGTATGTGGGGAGAAAAACTTTCATGGGGAATGAAGGAAAGAAACAGATGAGTATACAATTAGGGGACTTAATTTCCAAATCCTGTGGTCTTCTCACAGTTAGCTGTAAATGCCCTATACTATCTCTTAGCCACTTATAAACGCTGTAAGGGCAGGGACCGGGTCTGGTTTGCTTACCACTATACCCATGGAGAACCTAGTTGGCATTCAATAGATTTCAGTTAAATAAATAAGTGAACAAATATCTAAACTTGGACTGTAATTTTGTTTAGTAACAGAATCATTCCAGTTTAAATATTGAAACAATGAAACACTCTGGTCTTGATTCTCAAAGGCAGCTTGTTGAAGGACCCAGGAAAAGGTCATCTTCTGACCTTCATAATGAAAATGAGTGTGTTAGACAAGTTATCATTATTCCATTTTCATAAAAATCATATGAACACATAGTTTAAAGAGTTGTAAACCATCATCGGCTCTGTCATGTCCCACTTCCCAGAGGCAACTGTTTTCACTTCTTTTTAGCTATTTTCTCATGGTATTTTTCTACTTATATCTAAATAATATGGTAATAGTGCTAGCTCTGGTTTTTCACCTTTAATAATTATCTCTTAAAACACAGCAGAAGGCCTGGCGCAGTGGCTCACGCCTGTAATCCCAGCACTTTGGGAGGCTGAGGCGGGCGGATCACGAGGTCAGGAGATTGAGACCATCCTGGCTAACACGGTGAAACCCCGTCTCTACTAAAAAAAAATACAAAAAATTAGCTGGGCATGGTGGCAGGTGCCTGTAGTCCCAGCTACTCGGGAGGCCGAGGCAGGAGAATGACGTGAACCCAGGAGGCAGAGCTTGCAGTGAGCAGAGATCGCGCCTCTGCCCTCCAGCCTGGGAGACAGAGCGAGACTCCATCTCAAATAAATAAATAAATAATTAAAAATAAATAAATAAAACACAAAGGAAGATGAGATTTTAGTTCTTTAAATTTAATCCAGCCCCTGTCACACACCATCCCCCCAACTTTCCGATATTAACATTGTTAGCTATCTTACTAATAAGAGCACTATTTAGAGCTGAGAAGTTTCAGATATTATGAATTCCTGCATCTCTCTTTTGAGTTGGATTCCCTATTTCATAAATTTCTTGTCTTTACTTTTCCTTGATTTACTGTCTGATTTTGGTATAATATGTCCTCTAATAGTTTCCTGGAAAAGAATATTTTGGACTGAGATGGGTGGATTACTTGAGGTCAGGAGTTTGAGACCAGCCTGGCCAACATGGTAAAACCCCATCTCCACTAAAAATACAAAAATTAGCTGGGCATGGTGGCATGCGCCTGTAATCCCAGCTACTTGGGAGGCTGAGGCAGGAGAATGGCTTGAACCTGGGAGGGGGAGATTGTAATGAGCTGAGATCATGCCACTGCACTCCAGCCTGATGACAGAGCGAGACTCCTTCTAAAAATAAAAATAAAAAAGAATACGTTGGAGATAAGTATCTCAGCCTTTGCATCCCTAAGTGGCCTATCCCCATGCAAAGTTGGCTGTACATTGAATTTTAAGTTGAAATTCGTTTCTCCACACAATTTTGAAGGCATTGCTCTTTTGTCTTCTAGTTTTCCTGTGTTATTGTTGAGAAATCCTAAGTAATTTTTTTGTTGTTTGTTTTTTTGTTTTGTTTTGTTTTTTTGAGACAGAGTCTCACTCTGTCACCCAGGCTGGAGTACAGTGGTGCGATCTTGGCTCACTGCAACCTCTGCCTCCGAGGTTCAAGTGATTCTCATGCCTCAGCCTCCCGAGTAGCTGGAATTACAGGTGCCTGCCACCACACCCGGCTAATTTTTTGTAGTTTTAGTAGAGATAGGGTTTCACTCTGTTGGCCAGGCTGGTCTTGAACTCCTGACCGCGTGATCCACCCTCCTTGGCCTCCCAAAGTGCTGGGATTACAGGCGTGAGCCACTGTGCCTGGCCCTAAGTCATTTTAATCTTTGGTGTGAGATCTCTTCTTTCTCTCTTTCTCAGTCTCTTAACTATTTTTAGCTGCCATCAGCGTACAAAAATTTCATGATGATGTGCCCAGATGTGGGTATAATTCTTTCATTGCAGAGCACCCAATGTGTTCTATCAGTCTGGAAACTCATCATTGCTGGGAAACTTACTTGGATTATTTCTTTAATTTTCTCCCCCTCTATATTTTACTTGTTCTCTCCCTTTTGTGTGTGTGTGGGTGGTCTATTATTGAGTTCTGAGGCCTTCTGGAATAATATTTTCTGACTCTCTTTTATTTTTTTTTTCATTTTCTTGTCCTTATTTTTTCCGTTTCTTCCCCTTATTTTTTTCTTTCAGTGTCCTCTTTTAATCCTTCTTTTATTCCTAATATTGAAATTTCAATTTCTAGGAGTTATTTCCTCCTATTTTTTATTTAAATAAAATTCTGTTCTTATTTCATGAATGAAAGGTATTCTCTGATCTTTCTGAGGATATTAATGATAGTGTCCATCTCATGGCATAATATCTGTTCCCTTCAAATTGCCTGTGTCAGTTGAGTCTCACTTGTTTATATTAGAGGCATTCTTCAGATGTTGTGAAGTCCTTGGCTGTTTGCTCGTATTGTGAAATGGGATGCTAGAAAGCCGATTGGCATTCACTCTAGATGGATCCAACCAGGTCTTTTTATCGGTCTTTTGTGCTGGGGAGATTCTGGGACCTCCCACTAAATGTATGGACTCTGACCAACAGTATCCACATCACCCAGAAGATTGTTAGATGCAGAATCTCTGGCCTAACCTCAAACTTACTGATAAAATCTTTCACAAGATCCCCAGGATAGGAACATTGCCCTGGAGAACAATCTTCTATCCATCTGCTTGGAGGGCCTAAGCCTGGATATTAGCATTCTAGGAGGCCACTGGGGGAGGGGGCAGAGGGCAAATGTTTCCACATTCTGATGATAATCTTTCAGCTAATCTCCTGATTATAAGGGCAGTGTGGCTGCTTTCACCATTGCACAGTATGTTAGTCCAGGAAGCTGTGACGATGTATCATATGATTGGTGGCTTAAACAATATACATTTATTTCTCATAGTTCTGTAGGCTGGGAAATTCGAGATCCAGGTGCCAGCAGATTTGATGTCTGGTGAGGACTCTTTCCGGGGTTTGCAGATGGCTGCCTTCTTGCTGTAACCTCACATGGCAGAGGGGGTGGGGTGGGGAAATCTCATGTGTCTTTCTTTTTTTTATAAGGGCACTAATTCCATCATGGGAGGCCCACCCTTACGACCTAATCTGAGCCTAATCACCTCCCAAAGGCCACACCTCCAAATATCACCCAGTTGGGGATTAGGCTTCAATATATAAATCTTGAAAAATGTAAACATTTAGTTAATAGCACCTGGTGTCTCTCTGTTTTACCCTTTCCAGATAATATGCCTCCAGTTTTCTGCTAAATTGAGCAGATCATCTGGTAGTCTAGCTGCTTCTTAATCCTCCTAAATTTCCTACCCTACCTTCCCTATGTTTCTGGTATATCCAACCTGTGAGCAAATCAGCATTCTATTTTTCTGGAGGCTAGACTTTGTATCTCTTCTGTTCTTTTCCATTTTATTTGTTTTATGGGTTTATGGTTTTTAAAGGTCCCTATACCTGGATTTTAGTGAGTTTTATAGTAATAGCAGAAACAAATGCATAGATTCAGCTTACAGTCTTTAACCTGAAGTAGATTAATTAATCTTTAAGATTCTTCTGACTCTCAAATTGTACATGTCAATTTCTCTATTATCTCTATAGACTAAATATATCTTGTTACTTGGATTTTTTTCTTACTTTTTTCTTTATAGTTTATTTTTATTCCACTGTTTATAAAACCCTGAGCTCTTTCATTCATACTTGATTCATATGTGCAGTAAAGAGTGTTGTGTTAAAAAGGATTTACTTGTATAGAAATATTCTATACAATCTTTTTTGAAAAAGAAGATCTTCAGGTGTAGAGAAGAAAGTTTTCATGTTCAGATTTAATTTCACCCCAGTTCTGATGTCAAAGTAACTTATGGCCAGCAGAATTCAGTGTTACTAATGGTTGTTAGAGTTTCAGAAATATAGCAATAGCAGGTGTGTTTTATTTCTAGATTCACCCCTCAGTAATTAGTTGGCATTTGAATTGGATTTTAAATAGTGTGCTAACAATCATTCATAATTCCACGTAAAACTCAGCACTTTAGTTTTGATTACAATTGGACCTGCTATTTGATGATTAGTAAATTGGAGGCATGAGAGGCAAATAACTCATTATTACAATGATAGTTTATTGATTACTCTGCAAAGTATTGATTACAAGATAAGAGTAAGTTCTCATAATTATTATTTCTTACATCTGTGGAAATGATGGAACAAGAACAAAGTAATCTTGACTATTATTACCTACAAGTATTTTCTTATATGTATGCATGTATATATAAAGTGTGTATGTTGTGGAGCAGGAAACAAAATAAACGTTTCTTGATAAAAGATCTCCAGGTTGAAGATTCTCAGTCCATGTTGACACAGTAGTTCTTTAGCCTTAAAATATATTTAACTTGTTTTAACCAAACATTCATAAACTTCATTTGCTATGGGACCTTTTTCTCCCACTTCTGCATAAGACTTTAAATGCTCCCATAGAAAAAAGGAAGGGGGAGATTAAAGCCAATTTTGTGATACCTCTGCGTGATACTAACTTTGTGCCTCCTGAGCCTAGTTCAGTACTTGGCACAATATTCAATAAATAGTTTCAAAATAATCTGAGCCAATTTAGATAAGCTTTACTTCTTCCTTTCATCTGTCTATCAATAGATAGATAGATAGATTTTTTTTTTTTTTTTAGACTGAGTCTTGCTTTGTGGCCCAAGCTGGAGTGCAGTGGTGCAATTTCTGCTCACTGCAAGCTCCACCTCCCAGGTTCAAGTGGTTCTCCTGCCTCACCCTCTCAATTGATTGCAGGCACCCACGACCATGCCTGGCTAATTTTGTATTTTTAGCCAAGGTGGGGTTTTGCCATTTTGGCCAGGCTGGTCTTGAACTCCTGAACTCAAGTAATCCACCTGCCTCAGCCTCTCAAAGCGCTGGGATTACAGGCGTGAGCTCCCGCACCTTTTTAAAGGAACTTTTTCAAATTATCACCTGAGTTGTTTGGGGTTTTGTTTTCCTTCCTGCTTTAGACTCTCTAAAGGTACCACTTGACCAGTTTGCCTTACTATGAGGGGTTAGTTACATGACTAAACGTGGTAATGTGAGCTTCATCTTCCCACTTCCTAAAATAAACTTGCCCCTCGGCATTTCCACAGTGGAGAAATGACTAAGCCCAGATAATTCAGACTGATCTGGGAGCCTGGCATTCTGTTCATTTTCCTAATTGAATGTGTATCATTGAAAAGGTCTCCTTAAAAAACAATTTCCTTTTCTTAGTTAGTGTCGTATATCCTGGGTACCATTTGAAGTAATATAAAAGCATCTTAAGAGATACTCAAATTCTCTTTGATTTTCATAGAGCCTCTGACTTCGTGTTTCAATTATATTTTACTAAACTGTTGACATACAAGACATATAAAAGATGAGAGTGAATGTCTATTTGATGGTGTGACTGCATTTTTTAATAGCAAGATGTTCTTGTTTGTTTGACATTTCTTTTATGCTTAAATGAATGGATCTTTGTAGTGGGTATATCTAGTTGAAGGGTTCAGTATACTGACAGATTTTTGCAAGTTGTACTTAGGAAGGAACCTTATACTCTTCAGTATCCCTCCCAGAAACTAATTAACTGCTAAACACATAGTCAAGGATCAGTTATGTTTGTGATGTCTTGTGTCAGCCTGTTAGGGCTGCTCTAACAAAATACCATAGACTGGGTGGCATAAACAACAGACGTGTATTTCAGTACAGTTCTGAAGGCAACAAGTCCATTATCAAGGTGGCAGCAGATCTGGATTCTGGTGAGGGACCTCTTCCTGGTTTGTAGCTGGCCTTCTGTTTGCTATGTTCTCACATGGCATTTCCTTGGTTTGGGCCAGACATCTATGGAAATGATACAGCAAGAACATAGTCAAGTCATCTATGTGTATACACACATACGTATAAGAAAATACTTGTAAATAATGTTAGTCAAGATTATAAGCAGGGAGAGAGAACACGTGCGATCTGGTATTTCTTCTCCTAAAGGCACTAACCTTATAGGATCAGAGATCAGGGTGTCAAATTTCTAACCTCATTTAACTTTACTTAATTCCATAGATGCCCCATCCCCAAATATAGCCAAACTGGGTGTCAGTGCTTCAAAATGCAAATCTTAGGGAGATGCAAACATTCAGTCCATAACATCTGGTTTTATAACTTTTGTTGTATTTTTCACTTTGAGTTGGTCTTGATTAATTCATTAAGGTTTACATTTAAAGTTGTCAAGAAAAATGCCAAATCAGTTTTACCTCTTTATTTCAATAGGGAGAATTGGTGCTTAATGATTTTTGTGACAAGTATAAGATTTTTAAAAAATCTTGTGTTATTTTTGTTTCTCAGCTGTTTGACATTTGCTGAACCATTATTAAGAGTAGTTACTGACAATTACTGACAGCCATTGAATCTTCAATAGTTGAATCTTTGATAGTTGAATCTTCAAGAATTTCAATAGTTGCTCTCTGTTTCTGTGTTTTAAATTTACTTTGAAATTCTTTGAGTTTATTGAAGAGACAAAGCAATTTGAACAATTTAGTGTTTGCCTCTCTCAATCTCTGTTTCACATCCTAGACCTTGAAAATGAAATAGTTTTCATAGACTTTTACAGATGAAGAAACTGAGGCCCAGAGGGAAGTGATACTAAAGTCTTGATACATGGGTTTGTTGTACATGCTTTTGTCTTTCGTCAGTTTACGTAGTTTGAAGTGCAATTGAGACTTGAACCTCATTCCGTTGGAGATGATGGGTGAATTTATTCTATACCTGATGCAGCAGAATCTTAGCAGAAGGAGATCTCTGGGACTCACCCAGACATCTGACCTGTCTTTTCTTAGTAAGCTTACTCAGAACATGGAAGCATCTCTGCACAAAATGATGGGTCAAGATGGAGTTTCACGGAATGATTGAAAGTCAGGCTGGTGGGTGACAATCTTATTTTTTAGTGGTGGCTAATTCAGCATGCGCCTTTTTGTTAGGTTGCAGCCAACTCTTTGTAAATCTTATCGATCAATATAAACACAAAAAGTTGAAATTATGTACTTCATACAATAATGGATTATTTCAAATTAGTATGGCACTGATCGTAAGGACCCACTGTGGAGTTCGAGCAAAATTGCCCTTCAGGCCTTTCTGAAGATGAAGTGCTAGTCCCGATTCATTGTAAAGCTTTCTTGTGAACCCTAACCATCCAGAAACTCCTGACCTCCCTTTTCTTTGAGCTGGTCAGTCCAGTGAGGCAATGCATGTGAAAACACCCACAGCCCTTTGACAGAGTAAAACGAGAATCTCCAGTGCTCTTATCATTAGTCCAGAATATATAGTATTCATGATGCCTGCCTCTGCAGATTGCTGCAATTCCACATTTTGGTACAAATGACAAGAAACTTTCCCCAAAGAGTAAATGCATTCATTTTTCTAAAACTGAATTTTTGTAAAATCTTATGACAATGAAGGAGTCATTTGAAATAATATTTCAAAATCTTTTTCCTTGAGGAAGAAACGACAACATGTCACATGACTAATTTTAATCCTAGAGTCCCTGAATGGTCCCGTGTGACTGATTGGTGGTAGATACATTCAGAACCATCCCTCCGTTCTGTGAGTCTTTGTCTATTTGCAAGTCTAGTATTGCAGTATCCTCCGTCAAACACCTTCACAGTCTTTCTTCTAGGATATCATAGACTCCTAGGTTTATTTCAGTTGTGGTACAGGCTGCTCTTTGCAGCCTAATCCAGAAATACCAGCAATAATATTAACAATCTTATTTGTTTTCTTCAATTCAATGTTAGGACAGTAAAATTAATTAACATATATGTTTTTATACAGGATCGGTAGGTGATATGATTGTTACATCGTTTAAAAATAGAAAACATGCTCACTAGCTAAATTTTTGATGCCCAACAGCAACGACAGTAAGTTTTTTTGTTGTTCTTTTTTGAGATGTCTACCCAGCATCTAGTAAACATGCCTTTATATCTTTAAAAATAAATGATCTGTAAAAATCAGCTTATTTATTAGTTTTGGTGGATACACAATATAGGATTATAAGGAAATAAACTAAATAACCTTCATTCTTCACAGGTGGTCATTCGTATTACTGAGGGGACATTGAATCATTATGCAATTGCCTCTTTATTGAACAAAGAACAGTAGATCTGAAAGTCCATTTATTTCTATAAACAGTACATCTGCTAAAATTTAGGTATATTATTTTTAAAATTTCATTTTAGTACTTCATCATAGTCTCCAAATAATCATCTATTATCAATGTTAACATACTTTTTACACCATTTATATGTTCTTTAGACTGTTTTTAATCTAAAATTACTTATATCACATTTGATGATATAAATCCTCTTCTAAGCAGCATATCTCTGTAGGTAACCTCCACTTAATCACTAAAGAGAAAATTCTAAATCTTTAGTATTTACTGAACGAATCACTTGATACTTCTAATTATCGGTAGTAGATTTGATAGCAATCAGGTCTGCAGTGAGTAACTGGTGAATTCTATTTTATAATTAATTCTTTTTTCTGAATTAACCCAGCCAAACTGGGAAAGAGGACATACTGTTAATCTTGCGAAAAAGAAAAAGAAAGGAAAGAAACACTTTTCTTTACTAAGCATTTTTCTAAGCGTTCTTACATTGATATATGTGGCTTCCTAAGGTTTTGTATTGTTTGTTTTGTTCTTGGAGGATAAATGCCTACTTAACTTTTTTGGAAGTCAAGTCAGGTGGAGGAATTATCTGCTGGACTAGAACAATGTACTGCTGAGGGGGTGAGGACATTAAGTCTTCTGGTGTAATAGCTGCTCTTACTTAGTAATTTTAGGTAACTCCAAAGAAACTAACGCCCCAGTGAGATAAGAATATGTATGTAGCTTTATTTCCTTCTGCCTCCCTCCTCTATCTGGGTTCTTCTTTTGTTCCTATTATTTTCTGGAATCCCAGGTTTAATAGGTCCCTCCTATAACCTTGCTGCTCAAAGTACGGTCCATGGACCAGGGGTGGCAGCAGCAACACCAGGAGGCTCGTCCGAAATGCAGGACTGCAGGCCCACCTTGGACCTCCCGAGTCAGATCTGCATTTTAACTCTTAACAGTCCCTCACCTTCCCTCAGGTGAGTCCTGGGCATGTGGGAGCTTTTCCTAGATTTTCCTTAGTACCTGGCCTGCCCAGCTCATCACTCCAATAATTAATCCTGATATTTACAATATAAAAGGCAGGCCCAAACTATAGGGTGATACGTCAGTTTAAATGTGTTACTGAGACTTGGTCCAGCGGTTTTCCATATGATGACATATTCCCATGGGTCGTCGAAGTGTCAGGCAAGAAAAAGCAGAAGCTACCACTTTGAGTTTCACATATGTATTTCCTATATGGGTATAATTCAAGTTCCAGAAAGAATTCAGGTCCCCTGTATCCCTCACTTCCATCGTGTACCCCTATCTCAGGGTTCCCCATTTCTGGATGGCCACTCCAGTAAGAGGTCTGGTGTTGGGGCAGGTGTGTCCTAGTGAAAGCAAGGGGGGAAGAGGCAGGATAATGCCACTGAACATCCCAGGTGGACTTTGTGTGGGAGCTGAAACTGAACCTGAGGTCTGAAGACCCAGGCTCAGGTGTCAGCCTGAGATGTGAGACATTGTGTAAAGTCAAAGTGAGGACATGGTGATGTGTTTTCCTTTCTTTATTCACATGCCATTCTCTGTAAACAGTACACTTGAAAATTTGTCTCAGAGCATTTTGCTTTTCCTCTGGGGAAATGTAAGAGAAAATTACATGTGTAGGGTAGAAACATGTTAATTGTGCATTAATTTATTCTAGAAGGGATGCAGGATTATTACTTTTGAGTGGGACTAGAGTTCAAGGCAAATAGTGATTTCTGCGCATGACTGATGGTGGGACCTCAGACAGTATAAGTTTATGACCCTGAACTTCAGAGACACAGGAGAAATAGAATTATTCAGTGTTTTACTGACAACAGTGTTTCTTCAAGTGTAGTTCTCTGATCTAGCTGCCTCAGTATCCCCAGGGGTCTTTGTGAAGCGTGTAGGTTTGAGGAATCTTCAGGAACACCATGTGATTTTAGTGCATTCTGAAGTTTGAGAAACTAGTTTATGTGTACTTTTATTATCAATGATAGGAAGAATGTAGAGATTTTATTGATGTTCAACGTGTAGGAATTTCGGTTGTATAACAGCTGTCCCTAATTTTTTCTTTAATTCTTACTCTTGTAAAAGGAAATTGCATTTCTGTTTTCTTTCTTCTGAAATGTTATTTGTTCATTCATTCAACAAAGATTTCTTGAGCATCTTCTACAGCTGCGAAGGCTTATTTTCTGTTTAGGAAACCAATTTCATTACTCTTTGCATTCCTGCATTATCAGGGCGATACATGCATTGCAAACTGAGATGCTTTGGTCAGATTTCTGGTAAGATATGGACCTCAGACACAGTCTCTGTTTATGGCCAATAAGCCACCATAAATTTTAGGGTGACTCCTCCCCTTCTCCTGTCTTTGATTTTATTTGTTAAAATTAACTGCTGTCCTTTCTACCTGTTGAAATATTAAACAGAGGAAAATGGGGATAGAACAAATCAGGTTATTTTTGCTCTTCCATGCCACACCTTGATGCAGGAAGTTTAAATCCACTTTTTCTATAGTAGAGATTATTGTAGTGGATTTTAGTAGTGTTCAGTTGTTTTCTTATTTCCACTTAGAGAAGTTGCTGATGATGTGGAAAACTCAGGTATTTCATATGTCTTATTAAATACATGAAATGGGGAATTAACAATCCTAGATATTAAAATTTTTACTCACCTGTCAGCCTAATTAAGTACTTACTTTTCTTCTCTGAGTCCACTCTTTATGCTAACAAGTAACTCATCAAATTAGTCAATCCTTTACTGACTTTATGTGTGATAGCCGGATATCTTCAGAATAAAAGCATTGTTTGCTTTTATCAAGTGAGCCTGACGTGGTGAAAACATATACTCAAGCAATCTATTTTGAAGTCAATAATAGCGGAGGTGATCATGTTAAGTCATGTGTTGGATCAAGCCTTTTCTTGCTAAAACCCTTCCAGTGACTTTCCACCTCCTTAGAGTAAAATCCAACTTCCTTGCTTTCTGCAAGGCCCTGGGGGATACGGTTTCTTCTCACCTTCCCTCCTTGTGTCAGACCACTTTGCCTATGCTTCCTCCACTCCAGTCACACTGGTCCTCCTTCCAGTCCTCCAGTAGAAGGCTAATTCTTGCTGGCACCATGTTTTGGCTGGGGCTTCTGCAAACCACTGGGAAGCCTTTGGAAAGCTTGAAGCTGGCATGATTTGATTAAGAAGAAATGAATGAATGAATGAATGGATGAATTTACATCGAATTGAGGAGAAAGCACTTCTTTTTTTTTCACAAACAGGAACTTAGGCATTTTGCAGAGCACTCTGAAATGTTTTAAATGTCAGTGATTGATAAACGTATTATGAACTAGTGAGAGGTCTTTCTAAGTGTATTTACAATGAGTTTAAATACAGTCGAGTTAGGATTAGCATTCTCAGAACAGACCTGAATCCAAGCTTAGAAACTGGAATTTACATATAAATAGAAAATTAAATCAGTTTTCTAAACAGGTATTTTTGAAAATCCAATAACAGGTTAACAAATTTAAGGTTTATACAAATACAGAGAATATTTTTGACTTAATTTTAATTAAACTTCATGAAGTATTCGATTGATAAATGGGAATGGAACAAAGCATTCTCTCAGCATTCCAAATAGCACTGAAAGATGTTGATGGCTTAAAAAAAAAACAAAGAAAAAGAAAAAGACATACAAAAAGAAATGATCCCAGGCTGCCTGTCTGTTACCCAGCCAAGTAATTCATAACAAAAGGCAGGTTAAAACACTTCACTCCAGAGCAGTGTTTTGGGAGTTGTGAGACATTATGTAAAGTTAAAGTGAGAACACGGTGATGTCTTTTCCTCTCTTTATCCACATGCCATTCCTTATAAGCAGTATACTTGAAAGTGTGTCTCAGAGCATTTTGCTTTTCCTCTGGGGAAATGCGAAAGAAAATTATCTGTGTAGAATGGGAACATGTTAATGTGCATTAATTTATTCTAGAAGAGATGCAGGATTATTACTTTTGAGTGGGACTGGAGTTCAAGGCAAATAGTGATTTCTGTGCATGAACACTGGAAGTGCTCAAGGCTAGTTATCACAGATGTTTGAAGTGGGAAGTGGTTGTGGGATATATATTTAATTGGGAAAGGAAGATATGTATTTCACTGATATCTCCCTTTCTCAATTTTCTCAAGTACTACCACTGTTTGTATTAATTGAAACATAAATGGAGCAAAGCCATTACCCACGTTTCAGCGTTTAGTGAAAAGACAAGTGAGGTTAATCCCATTTGGCTGGAGAGCCTAGAGAGATGACCCCTGACCCAGGCTAGGAGCAGTTGATGCCTTCATAGAATAACCACATGTTCGATCAGCCTTTTCCAGAGAGGTTCCCTCTGCTTTAACCAACTACCAAAATTATTATTATGTGACTTTGCCACCATTCTAAATACCTAAACAATGTCGCTTTCTTTTTTCCTTTTCCTAGTTTGTTAAAAGTTTGTCTAGATTTTCATGGTCACGTGCATCCCGCCGTCCCAGAACATAATTTTTTACCGATTTAATACTCTTTCTTTAGTCCAGAGTGTCATGCATGCAAATCTGGATGTAAATGGATTGAAATTTAAATATTAAGGTACACTTGCCATCCTTTTTTTACTCTAGGTTGATTCTTTGAGTGTTGATGTTATTTGGTTTTGTTTTGTTTTTTTTTCTTTTTTTGCGGCGGAATCTCGTTCTGTCACCCAGGCTGGAGTGCAGTGGCGCGATCTCGGCTCACTGCAAGCTCAGCCTCCAGGGTTCACGCCATTCTCCTGCCTCAGCCTCCCCGGTAGCTGGGACTATAGGCGCCCGCCACCACCCCCGGCTATTTTTTTTTTGTATTTTTAGTAGAGATGGGGTTTCACCTTGTTGGCCAGGATGGTCTCGATCGATCTCCCGACCTTGTGATCCTCCCGCCTTGACCTCCCAAAGTGCTGGGATTACAGGCGTGAGCTACCGCGCCCAGCCGATGTTATTTGTTTTTATTTTACATTTTTGTTAACAGAAAAGAGGAGGAAAAGTTCATAATCTAACTTACATTTTATATATAACTTACATTTCATACCCTATTCCCTTTCCCCTACCCATCTTGTTTAAAATTTAGACTCTTACCACCAAATAATTACACTTTTTCTTCTCCCAGCCTTTGTTAGTCATGAATAAATGTAATGCTTTTGTCCTTGGTTTGGCTGGAGGTTCATCATTTACATAATCACCATTGTTGGGGTAATGTCACATGAGCTTACTATCCTTTCGTTAGAATTTTAGAAGCTCAATGATTTTGAAAGCCTTTGCAAGCCTAACTGATAACTAAGGAAATACAGAATTGGAAAATACCTGATATGTGTAGCTTCCAGGAAAGATTAAGATATTCTAATAATATTTCAAAATTGGGAACCTCTTTTGGGTTAACTGACAACTTCCTACTATTTTTTTGTGCTATAGTTCATACTTTTTTTTCCTTAACCATTTGTAGGTTAGAGAAATTATATCTTACCTTCACTCTCAAAATTAAGTAATCCTCTTAATATCACTATCTATAATTTGTGAGAAGTGACTGAAAATAGATAATATTTAAGATTAGGTCTCAAGTTTCAAAAATATATATTTACTTAATAGTGGATTCAAGGACTAGCATACTTCAACCTATACCACAGACATATTAAAAATGAAGTATTTAGTTATGATATTATCTCCAAAATTGTATGGTTTAGCAAAGATAAAACATATTCATATTCTCACTGTACAGGGATAAAATCAAATGTTGTAGTGCTTTCAGTATTGTTATTTTCTGGTCAAGATTTTTCCATCATTTGATAAGGTCTAAAATATTTATATTGGCAAAATTTCAAGTTAGGGTTAAGTTAATAATGCCACTTTTTTTTTTTTTTTTTTTTTTTTTTTTTTTTTTTTTGAGATGGAGTCTCACTTGGTTGCTCAGGCTGGAGTGCAATGGCGCCATCTCTGCTCACTGCAACCTCCGCCTCCCCCGTTCAGGAGATTCTCTTGCCTTAGCCTCCCAAGTAGCTGGGATTACAGGTGTCTGCCACCACACCTGGCTAAATTTTGTACTTTTAGTAGAGATGAAATTTCACCATATTGCCCAGTGTGGCTGGTCTCAAACTCCTGACCTCAGGTGATCCACCAGGCTTGGCCTCCCAAAGTGCTGGGATTACAGGCATGAGCCACCGCACCTGGCCTAATACCACATTTAGGTGACTAACAATACAAATCCAGTTTTCTATGGTTTAGCCTGAGTAAGAAGAAAATACCTGGGAGATGCTTAACAAAATGTAAATGGTTTTTTACAAGCAAAAGTTTGTAAAGTACGTTTTGGAGCTTACCTTATAAAATGTGGTATGCTATCATGACCTGCTGGTGAGTGTGTAAACTGATACAGGCTGAGTGCATTAGCATACAGATTCTACTCATAAATTTTTTCTGAGCAAATGATTGCAGTTGTTCACAAAAATATAGCCTCTAGTATCAAATTAAAATGTTAACAATTCAGTAATAGTTTATGGTAGACACAAATTGTCCATTAAATATAATATATAGCCAATAACATGGAAAGATATTTATTATGTGGTGCTGAAATCAAGTTATACGCATATGTGGACACATATTTATGTACACACATGCATACCTGTATATTTGAAGACATGTGCAGGCTTTCAGAGAAATATTCTGGAAGCATATTCATTAAGGTGATAACTGAGCCCTGCACCCAGGATGGAATAATATTTTAATTGTTTTCTTATTTCCTTTTTAATGATTTATTTTTTATATTTTTAAAAAAGTATTTTAATTTAATAATTTTATAGAGTCCTTCAATTTTTTTACTTATGTGAATTTTTTTTTTTTTTTTGAGATGGAGTCTTGCTCTGTCACCCAGGTTGGAGTGCAGTGGTGTGATCTTGACTCACTGCAACCTCCATCCCCTGGGTTTAAGCAATTCTCCTGCCTCAGCCTCACGAGTAGCTGTGATTGCAAGCATTCGCCACCATGCCCGGCTAATTTTTGTATCTTTAGTAGTGAGGAGGTTTTGCCATGTTGGACAGGCTGTTCTCAAACTCCTGACCTCCTGATCCGCCCGACTCAGTCTCCCAAAGTGCTGGGATTACAGGTGTGAGCCACCGCACCTGGCCAGTGTTTTTAATTAGAATGAGGTCATGCTTACTTTACCACCAGGATTTTTTTTTTATTTATACAATGAAATTCATCACTTAATGACTTTTTGAACTGGACCACGTTAAGTCCATATTCTTCAGGTGTTGCTTATTTATAAAATAAAGACCATGATTTCTGTCTTAGTACTTTGTCCTGAGCATTAGTGACTATATATCAAACATAATTTTTAGCAAAATCCTGGCAAGAATTTGTTGTCCTATATGAAAGACATTGTTTTTCAATTATTTTATGAAGTTCAGGTATTTTTCTTAGTCTTACACTAAAGTAGGCCACACCCTTAGAAGGAATTTATTCTAAATATATATTTTAACAACTATTTAGAGAGTCTTCTAGTTTATCTAGAATTTGCTTTTGTGAGTTATGAAAACCTTTTATAAAAATGTAATTCAAAAATAAAGAAAAAGAGAAGCCGCTGGATTCTAAGTGTTAGAGCTCAACTAATCTACAGGTGTTGATAGATTACTTCTGAAATGTGAGTTTCTATCTCATTTTAGTGCTTAATTCTTAACTGGTTGTTTGTATGTTTAAGGAATATATCACAAAAATGGAAATCTAATTTTAGTATAGTTTTTACTGTCTTGATTTCTTTTTTTAATGTAATTTTGTTGATTGTGGATTATTTACAATGTTAGTTAAATTATGTAATCAGTGTAAATATATGCAATCATGCAATTTAATTAGGGAAAGTCATTTAGGAAAGCAATGTCAGAATTCAGACATTCATAGCATTTTAGAAATTCTTGGGAACTTTATTTTAAAACTGCTACTTGGATGAACAGTAGTTCATATCCAGATTTAAATGTTTTATTCCCAAAAAAGTGAAAAAAATCTTACTAAATTCAGTGGAGTGAAATAGTATTGAAAGTATGATTCAGGCCGGGCATGATGGCTCATGCCTGTAATCCCAGCACTTTGGGAGGCCGAGGCGGGTGGATCACCTGAGGTCAGGAGTTCGAGACCAGCCTGACCAACATGGAGAAACCCCATCTCCACTAAAAATACAAAATTAGTGGGGCGTGGTAGCACGTGCCTGTAATCCCAGCTACTTGGGAGGTTCAGGTAGGAGAACTGCTTGAACCTGGGAGGCAGAGGTTGCGGTGAGCCGAGATCATGCCATTGCACTCTAGCCTGGGCAACAAGACCGAAACTCTCTCTCAAAAAAAAAAAAACAACAACTGTGATTCAGTTTGTGAATACCCAATATTTCTTTGTTAAATTTATAGTGATGTTGAAATTTCTATTTCTCATCATTTTCCCTTTTTTTTTTTTTTTTGGCTTAATGTTCTACCATTTTGAGGAAAGAAGCTAAATGAAAAGTGATTTTTTAAATTCAAAATCATATGTTTACCTAGAGAAACATGTTTTTCAAATCAAAATATTTCACCCCTAATACTACCTTGAATTAATCAGAATGGGAACTGGGTAAGTTGATGATAATGGGGTTATGATTTATCTGATTTAAATCATATACAATTTATAAAACATAATCAGATAGAAGTACATCTATTGGCTGTCGTCTCTGGTCGTTGGATAAGTCAGCCTGGGCTCAATGTTGCACCATTATGGATTCCAACCCCACAAACTGAATATAAAGTTATGACAATGTGGAATGAGATTGAGTCTATCAGAGTCTATCAGACATCTGGCAGCCTAGATTTAATAGAAGGCCCTCGGTGATTTGGGTCCGAGACATTTGCAGATCATCTCTCACACTGGGTACCATTAAAAGAATTGATTACATCTGGCCTCTTCTGCCTCAGCCATTTCATATTTTCCATAGTGAGGTATTGGCCATGATTGGTCCTTGTTTACAGAATTTTCCATCTCCCCTGGTTGGCGGACTCAAACTTTTCATGCAGTGGGACTTACCTGTTAGTTCAGAGCCCTCATTATAAAATTAGCCCAATATAGGAAACAAGAGCAGTTTGAGATGACTAAAGATGAATAGCAGTGTGAAAGTGTTTTACCAAGTGGTTTTAGTTGATTGTTGTGCTCTGGAACCACTAAACTATCATAGCACATGAATTTCCACAAATAAAATAGAAAACTTGAAAATCAATGTAGAATATTTAATATATGACCCCAAATAGCCTAAAGTACAAAAACTAGACACTTAGCTAAACTGGAGGGTAGTAGACTTTTCTAGGTGGGAAGAACCATATGGCTATAAAGCTGCACCCTATCATTTCACCAATGGTGGGAAGTTACATACCTAAACATTTTATGTGGTTTCTGGGTTTATGATGCAATGTTCTTTGTGAAAAATCACAAGAATCTTATTAAAAAATAGATTTTCAGATTTCATTAAATGCTCTTTTCCTATTCATAGGTTATCTGTGGATTATGGCTCCTGTGGAAAGAAGCCTATTCCTTAAATAAATCACACAGATTTTATATGAAAATTCAGTGGATGCTCTGAGTTCTTTGATCATTTTCCTTTTATTATAAGATAAGAGATTATCATTATCACAGTATAACAAGTGCTAAAATTGTCTTGAATTTCATTTTTCTTTTAAATTCCTACTAGACAGTTAGTAGAAAACCCTCAATTAATGCAAAGATTAATTGTTTTAAAGTACTTCCCAAATATTTCAAGATATAATAGAAAACAACAACCAATATTACTGTAGTATTACTTTCTGCTCCGTTTTTACCTTAACAGCATTTCATTTCCTTCTATTAACAGAGTCACCATGATGGGATATCCTATTTCTTATTTGCTTTTCCTTGCTGAATTGTTTACAGATTTTTGCTGTTTTAAATAGCCCACTTTGCTTAGATTATTTTTTCTCCTTTGATTGTTTTCTTGTGTTATATCACTAGGCTTTGTCACAGATTGCTAAACTGATCCTCTGAACGATTAATCAGAGGCAGATTAGACAGGAATTAAGACCTAGCCTCACGACTCGGCTCTGGCTGCCTCCCCGAACCATCACTGGACTTCTCACATACGTCAATTCCCTCATCTGTAAAATGGGATAATAATTCATGCCAAGCCCAAGCCCATTACTAACCCTAAATGAGGGTTATTGTTATTATTATTAACCTTTCATTAGAAGCAATGTGTAAAACAACTTTGTTTTATAATCATTAATACAGTTTTATTCTATTTATTTTTAATACTTTAGTAAAGATGTAGCAATACCTTACAGTTGTCTTAATTTTATTAATTATGGCTCATTAGGCTTGGCATACTTTATATTTTCCATAGGATAGTATATCATAATTACACATAAAGTTATAATGTCTCTTTACTCTTTTATTTAATAGTAAAATTATAAACCGTTACATTTTAAAAGTGTAAATTAGTTAAGTGTGTATTTTTATTTATTTATTCATTTATTTTTGAAATGGAATCTCACTCTGTGTCCATGGCTGGAGTGCAGTGGTGCAATCTCGGTTCACTGCAACCTCTGCCTCCCGGGTTCAAGCAATTCTCCTGCTTCAGCCTCCTGAGTAGCTGGGATTACAGGCATGCGCCACCTCACCTGGCTGAGTTTTGTATTTTTAGTAGAGACTGGCTTTCACCATGTTGGCTAGGCTGGTTTCAAACTCCTGACCTCAGGTGATCCACACACCTTGGCCTCCCAAAGTGCTGGGATTACAGGCGTCAGCAACAGTACCTGGCCAAGTGTGTATTTTGGATTGAGTGCCTGTTTAATTGGATTTTCCCGTTCTGTTTCGTTTTATATATATATTTTTTAAATTGCCAAATGTTTTTCACCAAAACATTACCCTACAATGGCCCAAATTCCTGCAATGACTTCAAAGGCAGAGAAGGGTAAGGACAGAGAGTAGGGAATGTGCAGGGCACTTGCATCTTGGCCATAGGCCTGCATGGTTCTAATTCTCTGCTGCCTCAGAGATTGAACCCTTATGCCTCGAACTTCCAGAGTCATTCTCTGCTCATCTTCTAGTTTTAACTTAAAATTGTTCTTTTTTTCATCTAGTTTCATAGCCTTTCAATCCCACATAGCCATGCCCACATTCTCCAAAAAGACATGTGTTATACTTCTTACTGATTTCATTAACCACAAAGAACAGAGATGATGAACTGCAATCATAAGTGTAGCTAAACATTACCCAACTGTCCAGTGAGCTATTTTGGGGTTAAGATCATCTTGGATAAAGAGAAGCTTTCATAGGTTCCCATTGTATTCTCCTTTTTTTTTTTTTTTTTTTTTTTAACCATTTTCTCTGACTACTTGGAAACATGATTAAATTTTTTTTTTTTTTTTTTTTTTTTTTTTGAGACAGCTTCTTGCTGTCACCCAGGCTGGAAGGCTAGAATGCATTAGTATCATCATGGCTCACTGCAGCCTTGTCTTCCTAGGCTCAAGCGATCCTCCAACCTCAGCCTCCCACATAGCTGGGACTGCAGGCACACACCACCATACCCAAATGTTTCTCACCAAAATTTACTAAATTTTGCAGTTATAGTAGAGATGGGGTTTTGCTGTGTTACCTAGGCAGGTCTCCATCTCCTGGTCTCAAGCAATCTGCTTGCCTCAGCCTCCCAAAGTGCTGGGATTAAAGGCATGAGCCACTGCACTCAGTTTAAAATCTTAATAAGTTAGACAAGAGGTTTCATACATAAACTTTTAAGACACCGTCTCAGATGAGCAGTTAACCTGGTTAATCATTCATTTATTGATTTTTTTTTTGTGTGTGTGACAGAGTCTCGCTCTGTTACCCAGGCTGGGGTCCAGTGGTGCAATCTCGGCTCACTGCAACCTCCGCTTCCCGTGTTCGAGTAATTCTCCTGCCTCAGCCTCCCAAGTAGCTGGGATTACAGGTGTGCACCACCACGCCTGGCTAATTTTTTGTATTTTTAGTAGAGACGGGGTTTCACCACGTTGGCCAGCCTGGTCTCGAATTCCTGACCTCAGGAGATCCACCCACCTCGGCTCCCAAAGTGCTGGGATTACAGGCGTGAGCCACAGCGCCAGGCCTCTTTGAATTTTTATTAAAAAACTTTAGATAGGTATTATATGCCAATGTCCATGCTTGTATTGATGGGACAAAAAATATAAATAAGCTAGAGTCTCTATTTTGAGACATCTCTGTATCAGTGGTCCCCAAGACTACCCCAGCTTTGGTGATTTTGCTGGTGAGATTCACAAGACTCATCATATAGTCATGCTCATGGTTATGATTTATTACAGCAAAAGGAGACAAAGCAAAATTGGTACAGGGGAAAAGCACATGGGACAATGTCCAGGGAAACCAGGGCCAAAATTCCAAGAGTCCTTTCCACACACGGTATGCATTTTATGTTTTCAGCAATGAATTGTTATAACACGTTCACAGTGTGAAATATTGTCTATCCCAGACGTTCATTAAAAACTCAGTCCCCAAGGTCCTACTGTGGGCTAGTCATGTAAACTATCTTTTGTCTAGCATGTACCAAAATTCCAGACTCCCAGAAGGAAGGAAGGTGTTCAGCATAAATCCCATTGTTTGTCCGGTTTAGGCACTGTGAGCCACTTTTATCAGTTAGGGAATGATGGGAACCGTCCCTAAATCTAAATTTCCAGATGCCAGATATGGGCCAGACTTGCAAATAGCACTTTCTAAGGATAGCAGTCTCATGCCTTCTGTGTTAACTCTCCTCTGCACAGTCTCACATTCCAGTGGTGGTAGACATAAGAATGTTGAAGGAGTCAGGCAAAGGAATTACTGGATTATAGAAGAAAACTCAATTAGCTCTACCTGGGGGAGTCAAGAGAAGTTCATTTAAACAGACAATATTGAGCTGAATCTTGAAGGAGTTATCAGATTTCCCAAAGTCTTGGGGTAGGGTAAAGGCTTTCATCCATGCAATAGTAACTATATTCATTGTAGGTAAAGAAACTATTAAATTCTGTGTGATGGGAACATAGGCATGATGGGGACAAGGAAGAGATAGGAAAGTGGAACAAGAGGATGGGGTGTCTTATAGTTGAGTGGATATAAGGAGTCATTCGAGGCTTGTCAGAAAAGTGAAGTGAAAAATTTGTAAGGTGTCTCTGGTAGCAAGTGGAGAAAAGGTTGTAAAAGGAAGAATATGACAACATAAGACTAGATAGGGCTGGGCACCGTGGCTCACTTCTATAATCCCAGCACTTTGGGAGGCCAAGGTGGGAGGATTGCTTGGGGCCAGGAGTTTAAGACCAGCCTGGGCAACAAAATGAGACCTCCATCTCTACAAGAAATAAAATTAAAAATTAGTCAGGCATGGAGGCCCATGCCTGTAATCACAGCATTTTTGGAAGGCTGAGGCTGAAGGATCACTTGAGGCCAGGGGTTTGAGGCCAGCCTGGGCTACAAAGTGAGACCCCATCTCTACAAAAAATAAAATTAAAAATTAGCTGGGCATGGTGGTGTGCACCTGTAATTCTAGCTACTCAGGAGGCTGAGGTGGGAGGATCACTTGAGCCCAGGGATTTGAGGCTGTAGTGAGCTATGATCGTGCCATTGCACTTAAAGCCCAGGTGACAGAGCAAGACCCTGTCTCTAAAACAAACAAATAAACAAACAGGCTAGGAAGCCAGGAGACAAAAGATGATGGAAATGTGACCTGAGGCACCTGTATTAGTCCATTTTCACCATGCTAATAAAGACATACGTGAAACTGGGTAATTTATACAGGAAAAGGGGGTTTAATGGACTTACAGTTCCATGTGGCTGGGGAGGCCTCACAATCATGGGGGAAGGCGAGGAGGGGCAAGTCACATCTTACATGGAGGGCAACAGGCAAAGAGAGAGAGGTTGTGCAGGGAAACTTCCCCTTATAGAACCATCAGATCTCATGGGACTTATTCACTATCACTAGAACAGCATGGGAAAGACCTGCCTCCATGATTCAATTATCTCCCACTGTTTCCCTCCCACAACACATGGGAATTCAGGATGAGATTAGGGTGGGGACACAGCCAAACCATATCAGCACCTATGGTGGGAATAGAATATGAGGCAAAGTTCAACCTAGGAGACACAAAAGTCTTCCTCAGAGCTTTAATAAAATAGAGTGTCTAGGTCCCATTCAACTCCTTAGTATCTCTGAACCAAACATTCTGTAAGCTTTATCTTCTGTAGCTACCTTAGTCTGTAATGCTGCCAGTTAAAACCTCAAAGCTGGAGTAGTCTAGTTTATCGACATACCTAAAGATATAACTATTTTCTATAGAATTTTATCTTTGGTTCTGCAATGAATTGAGATGCAAAGACATATGGCATTCTATCTTAGCCAAATATTTTCATCTAGTCTCAAATGTATCTATCCAGCCAATCTGCTTTCAGTGAACAATCTGAATGTTTCAGAGGATTTACAATAGTGATTTGGTTCACTTGAAATGTGCAGGTCAAAGTGTTTGTCATAAGGTGCAGTAGAGATGGATCCTAATTACATAAGATGCATGTCAATTTATGCAGTTACTTTTTGGTGGTTTCACCTGTCTTATGTGTGTGCTTTGTATGTAAAACTCAAAAAATGTTCAAATGTTTTCAGCAAATAACTATTAATTAAATGCAAGATATTTTAATAAAATCATTAGAATAATACATAAACATATCCTTCCAAGCAAAGCTTTCTTCTCTTTTGCTTTTATATTATATTAGAGTATGTGATGACAAAAAAGAGACCTGCAAGATTTGCAAAGAATAATATGAGAATATATATGAGGATACACATGAATTTCCTGTTCTACTCTCAGATTAACTGAACGTTGTGGGGTTTCCTACTCATGTTTATTGGAAAAACAATGAAGAACTTTCTACAATAGTTTATCTGCTATTATGATAAAAAATCTCAAGAATGTGTTAAGATCAATGTATATATTGTATTTACAGAAATGTGTTTTCAAAGCTTCGTCTTCTTATATTCCAATGGGAATCAAGAGATGCATTTAGTGTTTCCATGAGCTATGTGATTAATGACTATAGCCAAATATGTTGGGGAAAATGATCTTTGAAGGTTTTTCCATCAGTGGTTTAATTAACATACAGTAGACCGAAAGCAAACAATCTGTTCAGCCAGACTATTCAAAGATCCCTGCTGTTGTTTTTGTTTTTACTGCAGCTGGAAAGGGAAAAATTATATCACATATATTCCTTCATCTTGCTTCTGAGTAATTTGTTTTGGTGCTGATTTAAAGAGTAATTTAAAACATTTGTATGAGTTTGAAAGTCTGTGAAATGCCTAGGAGTAATTTACAATATAGATAACGAAGCTGTGATTTTTCTGATTATCCTGTCTTTATTCTGTAAAACATATATTTTGACTTGTTTTATCTTCTCTAAAAATCATTTAGAAGTGGGATCAAAATCTAACTCAGTTTCATACTTTTCAGTCTTGATGAGCCATGTACTACTGAATTATGAACATATAATAGGATTTCCTCTATGCACGACCAGGTAGCCTTGTTTATTCATGACATAACCAGAGAGAAAGAATTAGGTTTAAAATGCCAACCAAAAGAAGCAACCAAAAGGATATTCATGGATGCCAGGCCCTAAAGCTCACAAATGTTCTCATTAGAAAACACCTCATGTTTTTCCTGAGATCCTGTTTACTCTTTGCAAACACAATTAGAGCAAGCAAGAGATCTGTTTTCCAAGTTTGAGGTAGCAAATTCCAGGAGGCACAGAGATGGAGGTTTGTCAACATTTGACTGTAACAGCTGTCAATGGTAACAGCAAGCGAGAGATACAAAATCATAAAACGCTGCTAAACAGTGGGGGAAAAAAAAAATCAAACCTCAGCTGTCTAGAGACCAAACCTTGTAAGTGCTAGAGTAAGGATATATGCTTGTCTCATACCTGTCTGCTAAATTTACTGTTTCCTAATAATCTTACTAAAGGATGAGCTTGAATGTTCAGTACAAAAACAAGAGTTTGACACATTCATCAGACTTCTCAAATTTCAACTTAAGTGGGAAATAGAGACTTCATCGTTTCTAAGTTTTGGAGCTCCTTTTCATTTGTTCTCTAGAGAAGGAAGGCAGGAAGAAAAAATAGGAAAGCGAATTTGAGAAAGTTTAGAAGTAGAATCCCATGCAGAAGGCTCCTCCAGTATTAGGCATTCCGTTTACTTTCTGTTCTGTGCCAGGATCCCAGAAGCTAATTTAAAAGGGGAGGGAAGGTGCTAATGGGTATTCCAGAAAGTTCTGTTTTGTCCTATGTTATAAATATCTAAAAAATGGTAAAAATTAACATCAAGGAGGAATAAGTAACACTTATTTAAAAGAAACCAAGAGCTGCTTTGAAATTCTGTTTTGAAGATTTTAATGAAGACAAATCCTTTGAAGTTGTAGGTGTTTGTTTTTTTTTTTTCTGATTTACATTTTGAAAGACTGATAGGCCTCTGGTTGACACCATTGCCTTAGTGTGTATGTTTTTTAAATACCATTTTTTTTATCTGGAATCATTTAATCTATTCTCTGAATGATGTTTGCTACCATTTCTTATCTAGGTTGACATTCTAACAAGGATCCTGCATGGGTTTTCAGTGGTTCCTACATGACTCTTTGTGTTTGCATAGCTATGTCAGGGGTGTAACTTGCTAAGAGCTACTATAGCAAGTGCAAGGAAAATGCAGGTATCTGACATTGACCTAAGTGTTGTGCTAGGAGGTCTTATCTGGTTGTCATAAAGTTTTATTGCTGGGTTATAAGGTGCCTCATGTATGTTTGGTAATGAAGCAGGATATATAAATAAAGCAAGTAAAATTGCTTTATGTAGCTTTGCCTAAAACCGTAGGTCTCAGAGCCTGACACATTCTCAGGAAAAGCTGTCTGCTTTTGCAGGCAGGATATTTTCATTCCCATTTAAAATATAGAATAACAAAAGCACGGAGACTTTTTAGAATTATGCCGGATCATACAACCAGCAAACCTACTAGACAGAATTCCAGCCCAAGAGTCCTGGATTCTTCCTTGCACAGTAGTTTTTTCATTACTTAATTTTGCCTGGTCCGATGATGCTTGCTCCAGAAAGACTGTCAACAATTCATTCGTCCACTCATTCAGTCAATCAATAAACACATTTTGAGTACTATCCAATGGCCAGTAGGGACAACAGTGTTATAAAAAGAGATATTTTCTACAGTGACGATGACAATACTGCTTAGATGTGCTTATTAAACACTTACTGTATGGAGGGCAGGAGGGTGTCCACACTCAGCCCTTTATGTACATGAGTTTTTTTTTTTGTTTTGTTTTGTTTTTTTAGCCTCTAACAATTCAATAAAAAGAACACAATGCTACATTTCTCTTGCTCTTGGGTTTCTCCCTGTGGAGTTTTGGCTACTTTGGTCTCTGTGGTCCTTTTGAGCTCTAACATTCTATGAGCTCAAGGAAAGGTCTAGATGGCAGACATCATGGTAGTGTTTCTCTCTGGTATGAGACAGGCATATATCCTTACTCTATGCATCATAATATCAGACAATAAGAGATCTTTTACTGTATGCATCATGACATCAGACAATCAGAGATCTTTGGTTTACTGTGAAACCAAATAATATCCTCTCTGTCTAGAAGAATTACTAGCACCTTTCTGAGTTGAAAAGGAGGTAGTTTAGGTAATTATGCCTGTGATTGGTAGTGGTAATCTTAAGTTAGTTATTAGAGTTCTAAGTAGCTGAATCATTGTATTATAAGCTGCATTAAATACATTTTGGTTTCTTAGAATGTTCTTGTACCAAGGGGAACATAATGGCTGTAATTAAATCACTGCTCCTTCTGCCTTTTGGAACCCATATCTTGCCAGTTCTAAAACCCGTCCATTCATATCTTTTACTAATAGTTGGGTAGAAGAAGGCTGTTCTTGTTCAGAAACTGAATTTCCAATACTTGTGGCATGCTTTCCCCTGCTGACCTACTGAAATGAGAGACGAGGAGCAATGATTAAATCTCATTTTTTCCTCCTGGAGTAGCAGGATGAGCTGGGTCAGCAAGGCCAGTCCCTGCAGATGACTTTAAAATGCCTTTGTGATTTGATCTCCTTGCCTTCCCATCCATTTCTGTAAGTGCCCATCACTGTCATCCTTTAGACCCTGACGAGATTTCAAGGTGAGAACGGCACAGATGAACAAAAGTGCAGGGATGACTCCTGAGGGTCTTACTTATTAAATGGGTCAGGCAATGAATGAAGACTGGCTTGTAAGCTACAAGGTAGTTTCGCCCATTTACACGAAGACAATTTCATGTATTATTTAACCCGTTCCTATACACTGGTGTCTCTTTGCTGTCCAGCATGAAATAAATATGAAATAAATATAAGCTTACAAATTAATGAGGTCTGACTTTTATTTTCAAAATAATCTGACAATTACTTGGTTTCATCCTTTTGTTTGGATTCTAGCTTGCTTTCTCAGAACAGCTAGAGAATGTGTATGAAGTGTGCGTGTGGAGGGGGCAAGGGAAGGGAATAAAAATGCATTGCTTCAGGGCTGCACATCTGTTTTTAAAAACTCTGCAAGATCTGCCCGTTAACCACTGTCACAACTCCTGGTGTTTCCTGCAATTGCATTCCAATCAGAGATGTTCGTACCAGCTCAAGATATTGCAAGTAAACAGATTTAACTGTTACAAGTTAGTTTCCTATTCTCGTGCCTCACAGAATTCTTTTTTCTTCTCGAGCCGATAGCACTTGCATGTATGGTACACATAATGAGTGGTAACCCATTTTCTTTCTTTTTCAAACAGATTGGCAGTATGGAGTTACTCAGGCCTTCCCTCACACAGAGGAGGAGGTGGAAGTTGATTCACACGCGTACAGCCACAGGTGGAAAAGAAACTTGGACTTTCTCAAGGCGGTAGACACGAACCGAGCAAGCGTCGGCCAAGACTCTCCTGAGCCCAGAAGCTTCACAGACCTGCTGCTGGATGATGGGCAGGACAATAACACTCAGATCGAGGTAGATAAATAGTCTGGGTAATTGAAATGGATTAATGAATTTATTTCATGTAGGTGCCCAACTTTTATATAGACATAAGTTGTCTCTTCATCTCAATCTAGAAATTTTGGATTTCTTTTAAAGAACAATTTAATTCGTTAATAAATATAATAACTAAGCCACTTTACCATCCATTAATTCATTTACAGACAAACACAGGCTTGGTGTGGTGATGACAGTGAGCAGTGAGGCATCAATACTGTGCCTGCTCTCAAGGAATTCATTGTGTAAGAGCTTTTTTTTTTTTTTTTGAGATGGAGTATCACTCTTGTCACACAGGCTGGAGTGCAGTGGCACAATCTCAGCTCACTGCAACCTCTGCTTCCTGGGTTCAAGCAATTATTCTGCCTCAGCCTCCTGAGTAGCTGGGACTACAGGCGCATGCCACCACTTTTGGCTATTTTTTGTATTTTTAGTAGAGATGGCATTTCACCATGTTTGCCAGGCTGGTCTGGACTCCTGACCTTAAGTGATCCACCCACGAAGGCCTCCCAAAGTGCTGGGATTACAGGCATGAGCCACCTCACCTGGTCCTGTGTAACAGCATCTAAGTGCCATAAGCAAATCATCCCAGGGCCATGTGATATGTACAATCAAAGTATGCAGGCTGTAGTGTAGCATGAAGGAGAGTGTGATGAAACTGCTTGGGATTGAGAGTTGGGGTGTTGTCAAAGAGGCTTAGCCTAGAACTTGGCATTTAGATGGGGGCTTGACAGATTGAGAGGAGTTCACCTAACTGATGACCTGTTTATGGGAAGAGGGAGGGGCATGCTAGGCAGAGTAAATTTCCTCTGCAGTGGCTGAGGTGTAGAATGACATCTCCAGGACTGTCTCATAGGGTGACCACTGGTTCCAGTGGCTTGGGGCCGAGAAGTTTTCTGGAACGTAGGATGGCTTCCAGTGTTAAATATGGAACAGTTCTGGACAAACTGGGATGATTGGTCCCTCTGACTGTGAGTTATTCTTTATTATGGTTGGAGCTATGAAGCGGAGGGAGGAGAATGGTCAGAGAACAGTTTGCTAAGTACAGACATTTGCAGAGGGTGCATTTTAGGCAGATTTCAGGGTTGCTCGAAGGCCTCAAAGGTGGTGTTATTTCTTAAGTTTCTGTAGTCCTTAGCACTGCAAATCACAAAATATGATCTTGCTTGTAAACTAGGTACAACAGAAACAAGCAAGTAAACTTGGGCAAAAAAGCGAAGACCACCCAAATGAGAACAAACAGAGGTGATTTATCCAGTTTGCTCAGGCACGGCTTCGGCTGCCATCACTTGTTTTCAGCAGAGATATAAAGGCAGCTCAGGGAGTGGGAAGGTTTTTGGTGAAAAATAGAAGGTTCAGATGCACTCTGACCAGAGGTTGTTGGCATGGCAAACCTGGAGGTAGGCTAATTAGAAACAGCATGTTTGTTTGTTTGTTTGTTTTGAGACTGAGTTTCGCTCTATCATCCAGGCTGGAGTGCAGTGGCATGATCTCGGCTCACTGCAACCTCTGCCTCCTGGATTCAAGCCATTCTCCTGCCTCAGCCTCCTGAGTAGCTGGGATTACAGGTGTGCACCACCACACCGGCTAATTTTTGTATTTTTAGTAAGGACGGGGTTTCACCATGTTGGCCAGGCTGGTCTTGAACTCCTGACCTCAAGTGATCAACCTGCCTCGGCCTCCTAAAGTGCTTGTATTAAAGTCATGAGCCACTGCACCCAGCAAGAAACAGCATCTTTTATTATTAGTTTGAGGAACATCTTTGGCTTTTGATGGTTGGTCCTGAGAGTGGTATGAAGACAAAGAAATAGAGAAGCTCTCAGTTACTAAGGAAGTCCTGACCTTTCCGGGCTGACTACTGCCAAGGCTGTGGTGTGGCTTCCTGAACTGGCTGCTGGAGAGGTTGCATCAGAGTTCTGTCGTCACGTACGGTCTGCTCATTGCGTGCTGGTACATTCTTTCTCAACCTGAAGTTTCAGTTCCTACTTTCTCTGAGCTGACAGGCTTATGATTTTTAAGAACCAGGCAGCATTCTTTTTACTGCACCACAATCCCTGAAATACTCATTATTTAAGAAAAAAAACTCAGTTTCCTGAAGCAGATATTACCTAGTCCTGCAAATAGTATCAAGGCATCATTTTGTTCCCTCACAGTGAGAGAAATCTTCAAAAGATCTGAAGTATAGGCTGTGGGAATTCAGTATATTTGAAAAATACAGCAATTTCTCAAACCCCACTCCATGGCATTAGCTATTATGTGGCCATGGTGTTGGCAGGCTGCCCCAGGCAGGTCGCTTACCAGGCAACGGTTGATGTGTCAGGAGCAGAAGTCTTATGATATCTATAAGAGGCTATTCTGACTCCTGCAGAGTGGCCTGCTATTTTGGCAATGATGATGTTATAGCAACTTGGGGTAGGCAACATAATTCTTCCCTGAGCCACTCTTTAGCTGGGGTGCAGCATCAAGAAAGGAGAACTGAATAGAAGCAGAGGCGTTTACTCTCTGCCCAGAACTAGGACTCGATGGATATTGAAAGGGAAAAACACATCCCTATTCGGCTAAAAGCCCAGACTTTGCCACGACAAAATGCAAAAAATCTGCACCCCCTAAGTATGTAAAGACTTTTAAATTTCTTCGAAAAAGGAAAGAGGAGAACACAGATTCCAAGAACTCTGTAATCTCTCCTGTGGGGTGCTGAATTTTCTTAATCATTTATAAAATAAGAAATCTCTTTGATTGGGGGTATATTAACACTCCTGAAAATACAATCCCGGTGGTTACTGTAGCTGTAATTTTGTGATTCAGCCAATTTTTCTACTTTCTACCTTAACAGAGGGAGACCACAAAGTGTCAGGTTTGAATCAGTAAAAAGAGGGCAGAAGGATGGCCCAGGGGACTGTTTGGTGGGTACTCACCCAGGGCTAAGAGCTGCCAGGTACTGTGTGGATGCTCTTTTGTTTGGTCCACAGCAGCCTTGAAAGATTTGTGTCCCTGTGTTTTCTGGGCAATTTCAATGATTTTTTTACACGAGGGCAATTTCAGAGTTAGGTTTTAGTATTTTCCTAAGGTCTCCCATTAATGAGCATTCAAACCCTGCTGGTATTCAAATGCAAGCTTTGCCAGGCTTACAGGGTTGATCCTCTAGGCTTGACGTTGCTCTTTCTAGCAAAAGGAAAGACAAATGACACTTGAATTATGTAGTGATTTTGAACAGCAGCAGCCCATGAGTATCCATAGGAGGGTAATTGTGGGGTTTCAGTCTGGCTCATAAAAGACTTGTTTTGAATCCAGGGTTGCATACTAAGAACACTGCTTTTATTTCAAGATTCATTTATTTTGTTGGGGTTCTGGGGATTGATGGAGATTATTGGGATCTAAAGTCCTCAAGTAGCTCCTTGGCACTGCCACTAGTTGCGGAAACAAAAATCTACCTCTGAAAGTTTGGAAAGTGTACTAGGCCATTTTTGCCTTCCTATAAAGAAATACCGAGACTGGGTAATTCATAAAGAGAAGAGGTTGATTTAGCTCACGGTTCTGTAGGCCCTACAGGAAGCATGGCTCCAGCATCTGCTTGGCTTCTGGTGTGGCCTCAGGAAGGTTTCAACCATGGCAGGAGGTGAAGTGGGAGCAGGCGTGTCACATGATGAGAGCAGGAACAAGAGAGAGTGAGGGGCATGGTGCTGCACATTTTCAAACAACCAGATCTCTCCTCAACGCACTCATCACCAAGGGAATGGCACTAAGCCATTCATGAGGGATCTGCCCCTGTGATTCAGACACCTCCCACCAGGCCCCACCTCCAACACTGGGATTACATTTCCAAATGAGATTCGGAAGGGACAAATACACAAACCATATCAGAAAGTTTTACGTATCCTGGCTCTTGAAATGGTATTTGTGGGCCAGGCGCAGTGGCTCACACCTGTAATCCCAGCACTTTGGTAGGCTGAAGTGCGCAGATCACCTGAAGTCAGTAGTTTGAGATCAGCGTGGCCAACAAGGTGAAACGTCATCTCTACTAAAAATACAAAAATTAGCTGGCGAGTGTCTGTAATCCCAGCTACTCAGGAGGGTGAGGATGAGAATTGCATGAGCACGGGAGTGTAGGTTGCAGCCAGCTGAGATTCCACCACTGTACTCCAACCTGGGCAACAGAGCGAGACTCAGTCTAAGAAAAAAAAAAGGTAAAAAAGGCATTTGTGAACACGGTTGCATCTCTTTTGGGGAAAATAGTTTTGCCCCATTGTTAAACAGAAATAAGAAAGAAACCAAATGGTTATAAAGTGAATACTCTGTGCCTGGCATTGTTACAAGGTCTTGCTTATCTTTTTGGTTTATATTGCTAAATACAAACAATGAGCTAGAAAGACTCTGTGTGCTTTTTTCCTTTAGACGCTTTCAAACTCAGTTTCAGGGGTCAGAATTATTTTGTCTCGTAGCCCTGACTGCAGTAGTGGCTGTTAAAATTATGTGTATCACAGTGAGACAAAAACCACCCAGAATGGTATTCCTCAGATGTTCTCCTCATTTTTTTTCATTGTCTCGACTTTATGTTCTACTTTAACTTAAATAAAACAACAACAACAACAAAAATCCCAAACCAACACAAGACAATAGCATGTTTACTGTTTTGACACAAAGGCTGTTATTCTCTTCACTTGGTACTTGGTGACAGTATTTTTTCTGGCTCTTCACAAGAACAGATAATGGAAGGATTGTAAAACTTGGTAGCCCAGTTAAAGAATTCTTCCAGTTAAGGTTTTGTTGTTGTTATTGTTTTCATTGTCTAATATTCTTCCCATGAGCATATAAAATCTCTAGAAGCCAACTGTATATCCTGTTGAATAAGCAGGGGCCCAACAGATGGCAAATGCCGCTATTGATCTGAATGTTGATTTCTGTGAGACCTTTCTTCTTGTATTTCCTCTGTTCATTCATACGGACGTATAACCACTTAGCCAGGTGAGAAGTAAAGTACCTTCTGCTGAAGTGTAGGTATTAAAAATGAGGTGTCGGGAAATAGTCACTGCATGTGCTACTTTGTATAATTATTTTGGGAATATAAAGGCTTACAGGGCTTTCAGGCAGGATTGGATTCCATTCATGATTTGGCCTTGTTGGAGCAGCCTTCACTGAATTCCACAACTCAGGGACATATGTGTAAATGAGCAGGGCAAGCATCTTCCCCTGGAAGCTGGCACCTTCCCATTATCTGGCATGAAGCTCTCATAGCAATGATAGCACCTCATAGGATGGAGAGTGCTTTGACAGTGTTGGCTGAAATTACTGATGCTTAATAAAGCTCAGTTTCATCAGCCTATTGCTGTAGAATAGTGTTGGTCACTTATAGTGTTCTTCACTTTATAGAAATCAGTCTCAAAGTCCTTTGTGACATGCTAGACCAGATATGTGGTTTTGAACACTTATTCACATGCAATATTTGGAAGTGTCCTATTTCCACTCTTGGGACATTGAAAGTGTTTATTAAAAGGACTGTACTGTGTGATTTTTTGCCTTGACTCAAAAGCCACTGGATGACTGAAGAAGGGAGGTTTTAAAAATAGGTATTATGGATCATATTAGTACAGTTTCATGATAAAAGTGACTCAGAGATTGGGAGCTAGGCCAATGCCTCTGAAACTTTAACAAGCTTACAAATCACCTGGGAATCTGGTTAAAATGCATATTCTGATTTCTTAGTTCTAGGCTTGAGCCGGTCTGATATTCTGTTTCTAATAAGGTCTCAGGTGATATAGTTGTGGGTAGGCCATAGGCCACACTTTGGGTTGCAAGGATTTAGCTATTAGTTTTGAGAGCAGAAATCTTAGCTTAAATTTAGGTGCCTGCCAACAGTATGTTTCATGGAATTCTCATTCTGGTACCTAATTAAAAATGTCAGTTGTATCCAGCAACTGTTGTATTATTCATGTGCATGGAAGTTCATATCTGAGGAAAGTACAGTCAAGAATGATCAACAAATATGTGTGATAGATTTAGCTAAAAAGTAGAGATAAACAGTTTTTCTCTTAAATGCATTCCTAAAAACTCTCTTTGATCTTCGGCTATCACACATACACTGCCAGTTGTGTTGGCATCTTATTTTTACAAATTGTGCAATATGTTTCTTTAAAAATTTTACCAGTTGCTAATTGCTGTACACAAGGTCATTGTGTGGGCTCTAATAGCTGATTGCAGCCTTTAACTAGAAAGTCTGTTTAAGAGGAAATAAGTCACCAGAAAATACTTAATCTAAAAAAAGAATGTAGGCCAGGCGTGGTGGCTTACGCCTGTAATCCCAGCACTTTGGGAGGCCGAGGCAGGTGGACCACTTGAGGTCAGGAGTTCAAGACCAGCCAGGCCAACATAGTGAAACCCTGCCTCTACTAAAAATACAAAATTAGCCAGGCATGGTGGTGCGTGTTGTAGTCCCAGATACTCGAGAGGCTGAGGCAGGAGAACTGCTTGAACCTGGGAGGCGGAAGTTGCAGTGAGCCGAGATCGTGTCATGACACTCCAGCCTGGGTGACGAAAGTGAAACTCTGTCTCGAAAAAATAAAAATAAAAAATGTGATTGTGTTGATGATGATTTTATGAAGAAAAAGCAAATTTTGTAATGTTGATGTGGACAGAATCTCCATGTTATGTTTGCGGTATAGAGATGATGTGGTTTGGCTATGTCCCCACCCAAATCTCTTCTTGAGTTGTATAGCTCCCATAATTCCCATGTGTTGTGGGAGAGACCCAGTGGGAAATCACTGAATCATAGGGGCAGGCTCTTCCCATACTGTTCTCATGATGGTGAACAAGTCTTTTGAGATCGGATGGTTCCATAAAACAGAGTTTCCCTGCCTGTCGCCATGCAAGACATGACTTTGCTCCTCCTTCACCTTCTGCCGTGATTGTCAGGCCTCTCCAGCCGTGTGGAACTGTGAGTCCATTGAATCTCTTTTTCTTTATAAATTACCCAGCCTTGGGTTTGTCTTTATTCGCAGCTTGAAAACGGACTAATACAAGAGAGTACATTGGATTATCCATAGATGTGGAAAATCTTACTCCTCTTCTATATTTTAAGCCTAAGGAAGCTCACTCAATTTCAGAGGTCTGACAGTTACAATAATGAATGTAACTATAAAGGAGTAGTAAGACATCATCCCATTTCACAGAAATAGAGTGATAAAATTTTGCAGAATGCTGCTATGCTGGTTCTGTCTTTACACTACTATTGTGCTCAGTGAATTCTTAGAATAAAACACGTACAAGGAGAATGTGATAGTGTAGATTTTTGACATTTTTCAAAAGAAAGTATCCTTTGATATTGAACAGTCCTTTTACTATATTTATTACGAATGTGAAAATCTGATGGAGTTTTTGTGTGTGAAATATTTCCTTTTGGGGGGATCTTAAACTGATAGATGTTTAACATGTGGCTGCAAAATCAGAAAATTGTGCAAAGGGAAGGCAAAGATTAATCCTGAAGAAGTGCACATCTTGGACCTCCAAGTGTATTGAAATCTTCCAAATGCTTGTAGGTGTCAGGTTGGCTTCCACAGAAGATGAGAATGAAAGCATGTGAAAGCACGTAATTGAAAAGGAGAAATACTGCATTGGTTCATGAATAGGCAGAAGGAGACCTTTGTTCTGTAGAGAGGCAGGATTAATGCAGTGATGAGGTGTCATCTGAACCAAGTCACGAAGAAAGTGTCAGAAGATAGCCAGGTGTCAAGGTCATACTAGATAGCGTGTTTTACACAGATAACCAGGAGCAAGATTTTAAACTTCATTGTGTACGACACTAAGGTGTTTAGAATTTATCAGGAAGGTACTTGGAAACTGCTATACAATATTAAATACAGAAAGGCAAGTTTGCAATGATGCTCCTACCTGATTGCTATGGGAACTGAATCAGAAATCCCAAATCTAGGAGTGAAAAGATGAGTTAAATTTAGATTAGAATTGTTGTGGTGTGACATGAGATAGTGGTTAGGGGAAAGGC